>NC_000009.12:30616060-30767575 GCF_000001405.40 Homo sapiens
CGTGGCTTCCTGCTTCGTTTTGCACTCGTTCTCTCCACCACCCTGTGAAGAGGTACCTTCCGCAATGATTATAAGTTTCCTGAGGCCTCCCCAGCCATCTGGAACTGTGAGTCAATTAAACCTCTTTTCTTCATAAATTACCCAGTCTCAGGTATTTATTCATAGCAACCTGAGAATGGACTAACGTTATCTTATCAACTTCTACAATGATTCTGCATGTCAATATCAAATACATTTATGGAGTTAGAACTGGGATTGAAATCTGTCTATACATCAACTTGGGAAGAATAATTTTCTAAATATTAATCTGCCAGTCATAAAGGAGGATATAGTTCACTGATTATTACATGACTTTTTTCATAATACTGTACAGTTTGCAGTGTAGAAGGTTGGGCAACATTCTTCAAATCATTCTCTTGGTGATATTTGAGTTTTGAAGCAAGTATAAATAGTATTCTTCTTAAATTTACTTTTGTTCATTTGTTGATAGTATGCATGTATATAGTGTTATGAATTTTAACATGGCATCCAGAAATCTTGTTAAGTTTACTTATTAATTCTAAAATTTGATGTTCTTTTGTTTTTACTATATAAAGAATAATATATTCAGGCCGGGCGCGGTGGCTCACGCATGTAATCCCAGCACATTGGGAGGCCGAGGCAGGAAGATCACGAGGTCAGGAGATCGAGACCATCCTGGCTAACACGGTGAAACCCCATCTCTACTAAAAATACAAAAAATTAGCAGGGCATCGTGGCGGACGTCTGTAGTCCCAGCTGCATGGGAGGCTGAGGCAGGAGAATGGTGTGAACACGGGAGGCGGAGCTTGCAGTGAGCCGAGACCACACCACTGCACTCCAGCCTGGGCGATAGAGTGAGACTCCATCTCAAAATAATAATAATAATAATAATAATAATAATAATATATTCAAAAATAATATTTTCTCATTTTTTCACCTTTTATAATATTCATATAATAATTTTTTTCTAGTATTTTTAAATTCTATTGCATCCAGTCCAATATTTAGTTGAAATGGTAGTAGTAGCCATTCTTTGACTGTTTATCTTTAGGAAAAAGGCATCAATAATTCACCATTATATATGCAATGTTCTGTGAATATTTCGGAAATAGTCCTTAATGGTTTGAGTTTCGGTTTCTATTTTGAAAGGAATTTTTTAATAATCTATAAATTTCAAGTGTTTTCAACTTATTTTTCTATTATTCATGAGGTTATATCAACAGAGTAAAAATGCAACCTACTAAACAGGAGGAAATATTTGCAAATCATGTATCTGAAAAGGAGTTAATATCCAGAATATACAAATAACTCCTACAACTCAAGAACAACAAAAACAAAAAAGCGATTCAATTAAAAACATGGAAACAACTTAGACATTTCTCCAAAGATGATATTCAGATTGACAGCAAGCAAATGAAAATATGCTCTGTCTCACTATTCGTTAAGGAAAACACAAATGAAAGTCACAAAAGAGATATCATCTCACATTACAATGGCCTCTACCAAAATAACAGAAAATAGCAAAGTGTTGGTGAGAATATGGGGAAAATAGAACACTTCCGCACTGTTGGTGGTCAAGTAAAATGATGAAACTGCTTTGGAAAGCAGTGCAGCAGTTCCTCAAAAAAGTAAAAATAGAATTGTCATATGATCCAGCAATTCTATTTTGGAGAATCCAAGAGATATTTGCAAACTGATATGGTTTGGCTGTGTCCCCACCCAAATCTCATTTAGAATTGTAGTTTCCATACCTGGTGGGGGGTCATTGAATCATGGGGCTGGTTACCCCCATGCTGTTGTTCTCATGGTAGTGAACATGTCTCATGAGATCTGATGACTTTAAAAATGAGTGTTCCCCTGCACAAGCTGTCTTGCTTGTTCGCTGCCATGTAAGTCATGACTTTGCTTCTCCTTCACCTTCCACAATAATTGTGAGGCCTCCCCAGCCATGTGGAACTGTGAGTCCATTAAATCTATTTTTCTATATAAATTACCCAGTCTCAGGTATGTCTTTACTAGCAGCATGAGAATGAGCTATTATACACACTCTTGTTTATAGTTGCATTATTCACAGTAATCAGGAGGTAGAAGCAACCAAAGTATGCATCAACAGATGAATGGATAAAAAAATGTGGTATATAGATACAATAAAATATTATTAAGCTTTAAAAAGGAAGGAAATTCAAACAGATACTATAACATGGATTAACCTTGAGAAACTTATGCCAAGGAGTCTGGTAATATAAAGACACATACTGCACAATTTCACTTATAAGATATTCCTCAAGTAGTCAAATTAATCACCTCACATTTTGCTTATCATGGCAAAAAGAGATAACTCAGAGCAATCTGGTGTCAACTGCTGGTCTTATGAGTGGAAGGAAATTATTATTGAGAGATTCTATAATTTGTATTGGTGGTAGTGGGAGGGGGATTGCTGAAATGCAGCTTAGTCATTTATGGATCAGCGACAAGAAATGCTTACAGCCGAATATAATGAAGACTTATTAATTCTAGATTTTAAAATATTTTAGAACTTTGCAAGCAAACAGATAAGTGACATGAATTTTAATAATTCTAGCAAAGTAACAGACACAAGATTCATTTATAAATTGTTTCTAATATTAAATATGTGTTCCAATACAATTGACTGAATAATACTTTGCAAAATCACTCTTGTACTGAATTAGTATTATATTATGTTCTAATTTTATACTTTCTATTTTCTTTTGTTTTTTTATTTTAGTTTGTTGATACCATATTTTTAGTTATATAATTCCATATACACTTTATTAATGAGAGCATTTATATAAAATATCTATTTACATATTTTGCTTATATTTCTTTATTTCTGAAGAGCTACGTAATTATTGTCCTCTAGTATATATGCACCTTAGTCGTCATATTTATCAATACTGCTTAACCCTGTTCCTGAAATATAAGCATTTAATTAATGTTGACTGAATGCAGTCTGTCACCATTAGGCAAGATGTCAATGGTGGGTTTTACACAAAATCTTTTACCATGTTATGGAAGTTTTCTTGTATTTTCAATTCTCTGAATATTGTGATCATGAAATGTTGTTGCATTTTTCTAAATGCCTACACTGTGTCACATAAAAATAACATATTTTCTTTCTTCATTTTATTAATTAGTGTATTACATTTACTGATTTTCTTACCTTGAACCACCAGCATTCTTGGGATAAGTCCCACTTTGTCATAGTGTGTAATCCTTTAGTCTACTGTTGGATTTGGTTTGGTAGTGTTTTGATGAGGATTTTTTCAACTATCTTCATAAGAGTTATTGGTCTGTAATTTTGTTTTGTAATGTCTTTTTCTGGCTTTGTTATCAGGGTAATGATACCTTCATAGAATGAATTAGAAAATCTTCACTCTTCAATATTTTTGAAGAGTTTGAGAAGAGTTGGTGTTGATTATACTTTAAATATTTGGTAGAATTCAAAAATGAAGGCATGTGGTACTGGACTTTTTGAGATTTTTTTAAAATTGTAATTTAATTTATTTACATGATGTGGGTCTACTCGAATTTTCTGTTCCTTCTTGAGGCAGTTTAGGTAATTTGTATGTTTCTAGGAATTTATTTATTTACTATAGGCTATCTTATTTAATGGTATACAAATTTTTTTTCTTCGTTTTTTGTTTTGTTTTGAGACAGAGTCTCACTCTGTCGCCCAGGCTGGAGTGCAGTGGCGTGATCTTGGCTTACTGCAATTTCTGCCTCCTGGGTTCAAGCAATTCTTTGCCTCAGCCTCCCGAGTAGCTGGGACTACAGGCACCCGCCACCACGCCCGGCTAATTTTTGTATTTTTAGTAGAGAGGGGGTTTCACCATCTTGGCCAGGCTGGTCTTCAACTCCTGACCTCGTGATCCACCCGCCTGGGTCTACCAAAATGCTGGGATTACAGGCGTGAGCCACCGTGCCCCACCTATATTATTCTTTTGCAATTCATTTTTCTACTTTTTTTTGTTAATGTAGCTAAAGTTTTGTCAATTTTGCTGATCTTCAGGAAAAAATCTTTTTGTTTTGTCAACTCTTTTTATTGTTTTTCTATACTGTGTTGAATATTACTGTTCTAATTTTTGTTTTCTTCTTTGTGCTAGTTTTGAATTTAGTTTGATCTTCATTATATTCTCAAGGTGTAAAGTTAAGTGATTTATTTGAGATCTTTCTTATTTTTCTAATCTAATTATTTAATGGTATAAATTTCTCTCCAAGCCCTCACATTATAGCATCTCATACATTTTAGCATGCTGTGCTCATTTCTATCTCATCTCTAAGAGTTTTCTAATTCCACTATGGTTTCTACTTGGATACATTATTGTTTTTTGTGTTTAATTTCTTTCAATATATGTGTGAATTTCCTAGCTTTCCTCCTGTTGTTAATTGATAATTGCATTTTATGTGGTCAGAAAATATTCTTTGTATTTTTTCAGTCTTTTTTTAATTTATGGAAACTTATTTTGTTGCCTACCATACAAACCTTCTTGTAGAATGTTACATGTGCCACTGAGAAAAATGTCTATTCTGCTGGTATTGTGTAGAGTGTTGTGTGTTTGTATGTTAGGTCTAATTGGTTTATAGTGTTCTTGAAGTCCTCTATTTTCTTATTGATCTTCTGTCCGGTTGTTCTATCCACGATTGAAGGTGAGATATTGAAGTCTATCAATATACAACCATTTATTTCATCGATCAACTATGTCAATGCTTTCTTTATATATTTGGGGGCTCTGTTGTTCATTGGATGTATATTTGTAATTGGTATGTCTTGTTGATGAATGGACCCTTTTGTCATTGTAGAATGTCCATCTCTTTCTCTTGTATCAGTTTTGAATGAAAGTTTATGTTGTCTGATATTATATAGCTGCCCCAGCTCTCTTCTGGTTACCATTCACATGGAATATTATTTTTCTATTCTTCCACTTTCAATGTATATATCTTCATATGTAAAATAAGTCTCTTAAAGAAATTATATACATGGATTATTTCTATTTTATTTTATAATGCATTCTGTCAATTCCTACTTTTTGATTGGAGATTAAAGTAATTAGTGATAAAGTTACTTCCATTTCACTATTTGTGTTTTGTATGTTTTGATTTTGTATGCTTCTCCTCTGAGGCTTTATGTAGTCCACTGTATACCTCAAATGTAAGTAATATTTTGCTACATGCAGCTGTGAAACTTTGTTCGCTTCTCAATGTTTTTGAACAATGCTTACCACTTTTCTGTCTTGAGTGAGTTTCAAATTAAGTGAGACAAAGACTAGCACCTTATACCAGTCCTTCCCGTAGCAACTAGGCAGGTTAAAAAAGGCAGATGCAATAATTTCTGCTTAAGCTCTGCTGCACTGCAGAACCAGGGACTAGGGTTCCATACAGGAAACATCAACTGCCATTTTCAAGACCCCGCCAAGAGGGTGAGATAAAGGCAAGTAAAAACACCATGAAAATGTCCTACTTATTTGAAGTTGCCTTTTTCTTGTTTTGGTGTTCTGTGGGTGGCTATAAACGTTTGACTGTTTCCCACAGTTCTCACCAACTTGGTTCTGACAGTTCTTGTTTTGCAATATTAATGCAATGTAATGTATTTACATGAACAAAAACTATGAGGAAATTCTTTTAGTTATTAACATTTTCTTCTGTTCCTGGACACCTCATGCTGTTCTATCATAGGTTATATATGTGTGTGACTATGCACATGTGCATGTGTATGTACAGGCATGCTTATGTAATTTTCCTTTTGCCAGTTATTCTTAGATAACTAGTAATTCTTTTATATTATCAGTAACTTTCCCCATGAATTTGTACCAAATTTTCCCAGGAAAGGAATATGTATGTATTTAAAGAAATATCTTAAAAGCTGATTATCCAGTGTGGTATTTGAAAATGTCTTATGATCTCTTTTATAGCACTTCAACTTCAAATCTTATTTTGCTTGAAAGTGTGAACAAAAAATTTATAGGAGTGAGGTTTTCAGCTTTCATCAATATTTCACTATTGTCCCATACAATGTTTACCTCCTACATTATTTCTCACTATCTATGTCCTTTTAAATATCACAATGTTTAATGTCATAATGTTTCGGTTTTATCAGGTCGTTGGGGCTTAATCTGAATTTCACTATTTCATAGTTTCCTGTTAATGTCATATTCTTTATAAGCACTCATATTTATAATTTTCCACTAGCTTACAGAAGTCAATCTCTCAAAGGACTGCCTTTCCAGCAAGACTTTTGACAAATATTGATTTGAAGTAGATTAAGTGAAAAAATAAAAGAAGCAAAGATTAATATACAAAATAAAAAATGAAACCATTTACTTTTTACTTTATATTTTAGACTTTATAGTTAATTTTCCTTTTATTAATTCTATATTGTACATTCACTGGTGAAAATATTTGCATAAAAATCAGATAATATTGTGAGAATAATGTTTCAATTCCATAATCAAATGCAAAAATATTCAGAAATATATTCAAAAAAGAAAAATAATATAATAAGTGAAAATATGTACCTAAATTATAACATAAAAATATAGCAGGATACAGTACCAGGACTGTAGATCTGGAAATGAAACCAAGCGTGATTAAATATCAAGGGAGATCAAAGGAAAATAAAGGAAAAGTGGCCTAATACGTTTTTAAGAGATGAATCAATCGCCTGCGGCAATGAGAGAACTAGTGATCTAATTTGAATTTCAGTGGATTCTGAATAAGGTTAATATAAAATGATGAAATGGAAATGTTAACAGTGTCTGAAAGCATAAATTTAGGGCAACAGTAAAGGGAATATTGTCTTTGAATAGTCTGTTCTGGCAGATCTCTAGGACCAGTGCTTAATTAATAGGTAAGGAAAAAGAAAGCCTCTAGTAATGAATGAGAGAATAATTCATAAAAATATGGAATCAATGAGCAAGAAGTATGTATATATGAGGACATAGAGAAAATCAAGGAATAATAGGTATTTTTATATAAAATAATAAAGTAGATGGAGAAAAAGCAATAGAACTTGGAGAATAAATCCTAAACAAAAATATGTTGATCCAGAAATTCCATGACCAAAGATGTCATGCAAAATTGATGAAGTGATTTACCTCTAGATTTATTCTGGTGAAATTTTAAAATGTATTAGTAAAGAAATAATCCCAGAAAGGTCTAAGAAAGATAAAATCAAAACTTGCCTGTGATAGAAAATGTCAGGTTGGCCTTATCTTCTTTTCTATTAATGAATGGGAGAAGACAAGGAGCATAATCGTGGTGTGAAGAGACAGTGATCGTAACCCATCCTGGCCCAGTTGTGTTTTTATAGATTTCATATTACAAAAGAAGAACAACATAAGCTATGTACACTAACTAAAATATGTAAAAACAGCATTCCAATAGAAAAATGTATAAATTACATGAAAATTTAAAGCAAAAACAATAAGCAACCATTAAATACATGAAAAATGAATATGTATATTGTTAATAACAAAACAAATACAAATTAAAACTAAGCTAGAGTTATATTAGCCACCTATTTGAGAGTAAAATTGCAAAATTAAAACACTAATATTATTCAAAAGACAAAAGGGAAGAATTTACTAGTTTTTATAGAAAAATATTAGTAAAGATGAAAATCACAAATAAATACTTGAATAAATGTTTTATAAAAAAGGCAAACAATTCTGTATGTGTTATAATGAAAGTTAAAATAACAGACAGAACAAAAATTTTTGCAGATATACCAATGTTTAAATATGTAATGAATATAGAATAATTTACGTCAGAGTGAAAATATATACTTTGAGTACATAAGCTAAAAATGAAAAGGGTATAAATGCACAATTCAAAAGCAGTAAAATATACAGATATGTGTAATAAATATATGCATTGTAGAAACATGTAATTATATATAAAATAATATTTAATATCACTACTCATATAAAATTATCAAGTTAAAAAAGAAACATTTGAATATTACTATCAAAAATTTAAAAAATAAAAAGTATAAAAGTAAGTTTAGCTCTATTCATTGCAGTTGTAAGATTATTCACAGTATTTTCTTTTTAACTTTAAGAATGTTCTATATATTATATGAATAGTATATATTACTCCAATCAATGCATATGCATATGATTAAAATTGGAATAAATAATGACAAATATAAATGTGTGGGATTTTATTCTAGGCTCATATTACTGATTGTGTTCTTTTGACTATCTATTAAAATTATATCTATATTATTTAACCACTATAAAAATGTAAGTTGAGACTTTATCTTTCTTAGATAATAGGAGTATCCACTGAAAATCTTATTGCCAATTTTTTTTCTAAAGCCATACAGTATTTAGTGGTTTTAAGATAATGTACCAAAAAAATAATTCTAAATGGAGGGTAAAATATTTTTAGCAGCACAATTACAAGATAATCAAATTATTGAAAGCAAAATGAGAGGTAATTTTGGAGAAGCAAACAAGGGTCAAGTCATGCAAGATCTCAATAGGCTATAATAGGAGTTTGGATTTTATTAGAAGGGTGATATAAAGTTATTGGAGGACCTTTACTGGGGAAGTAACATGATCTGACTCTCATGATATTAGTTTCTTACAAAAGTAGCATCATGAAGTGAATAAGTGTGTGGACTCTGTAGTGCCATGCTTTGAATCTTTTGTTTTTATCTTTTGTGTACCTACTATAGATTTTCATTGTCAGTGTATATACTGTAGGTTTTTACTTTCTGTGCATCTATTATAGGTTTTCCTTTGTGGTTGGGGTGTTAAACAGGGTAAAGGGGATATTAGTCAAATGATGCAAAGTTTGGTTAAGTAGGAGGATTAAGTCCTACTGATCTATGCACAGAATGTAATGATAGTTAATAATAATTACTGTACATTTTAAAATTGCTAAGAAGTGTAGAGTTTACATGTTCTCATCACAAAATAATAAGTATGGGAAGTGATGGATATGCTAATTAGTCTTATTTAATCATCCTACAATGTATACATAACTTCAAATTATACCCCATAAATATATATAATTATTATTTGTTGACTAAAACTAAAATATTTTTAAAAGTGTGAAGTATGGAGCCATACTACATGGATCCAAATCTGAGATTTGTTCTTCACTAGCTGTGTAGCTCCAGACAAATTGCTTAATCTAGATGCTTCAATCTCCTCATCTGTTTAATGGGAATAATACAATAGTATAAACCTCATGTGGTTTTCATTAGGATTAAATGAGATATATAATGGATTGTAATATAAAGTGTTCTATGGGGAATAGATGGTGGGTAGTAGGGCAAGAGTTTGAGGAGACTAGTTCAGAAGTTATTGAGGCTTTGAAGTTTTGAGAAGTGTAAGAACAAAGTATTTTGAACATAGATCCTGTAAATGTTATTGAAAAACAGAATATGAGAAATGAGAAAAAGTAAGCAATTTGAAGATCTATTTCTGGCCTGAACAGCAGAGTGGTGTTATTTAAAGAAGTGGGGAAGAATGGAAAGGAAGCAATGTAGAGCTGGCTGTTATGTATTTAGTTGGATATGTTAAAAAGAACTCAGGGGAGAGATGATAGCCAGGAGCTTACAATTGGAATTGAAATCTTTGAGACTACAGGAGATAATAAAAGTATGTGTATTTAGAAAAGAGAAAATGAAACTGGGATTCTCCAACATTTAGTCATTGAGAAGAAAAGGAATAATCAGTAAAGAATGAGCAGCCAATGATTTAGGAGAGAAATTAATAGAAGATTATTATGTTTTAATATTTACTGAAAATAATTTAGGCTATAAATGTACTTATCATTTATTTGTACAACTACGTGAAAGTGCACATAGAAAAAATATGTTAAACTCCAAAATCTTAATAGGATTTGACTTATTTTCTTTAGTTTTCTCTTCCTCTACTGAGAGAAAATATTATTTGTGTAATGAAGAAGGGGGGAAATACTTAAACTAATACAGAAGGAAATAAAATGTGTTAAAATATGGAATTTATAGAATAAATATTTGCTGGGCTAGCACTAATTATGCCGTACATTGAAATGCCAATATTTTGTATGACTGGAAAACTAAAAGTCCATTAAAAAAGTAAATGTAAATCAAGATTTGTTTTGTTTTTAAAATATTGATATGGATTAATCAATAACTTCTATAATATATGGTTCATGCAATTTCTAAATGTATTACTTATGTAGACAATGTGAATTCTTTAACTTAAAGCCATAGAGTATCTATCCCCAGAGATAGTTAAACAATAACTTTTCTAAATAACTTTCCTTAGTGAATCTTGTTGTTTTATGTAGATACAAGAGGGAAGAATCACAATATTGTGTTAATTTCAACTTTATGTGTTTATTTTTTGAGATGGAGTCTCACTTTGTCTCCCAGACTGGAGTAAAGTGGCAGCGATCTCTGCTCACTACAAACTCCACCTCCTGGGTTCAAGTGATTTTCCTGCCTCAGCCTGTCCAGTAGATGGGTTTGTAGGTCACCACCACCATACCCAGCTAATTTTTGTATTTTTGGTAGAGACAGGGTTTCACCACGTTGGCCAGACTGGTCTCAAACTCCTGACCTCAAGTGATCTGCCCACCTCTGCCTCCCAATAGTGCTGGGATTACAGGCGTGGGCCACCGTGCCTGTCCTCAGATTTTTAGATTATCGTGACAAATAGCAATATCATGACTGAAACATACTTGTGAGTGAAAATTAAGCCAACCTCAGTTTCACTGGTATGAAAAATGTGGAGAAGTGATAGAAAAAACTACTTATAACTGGACAAAATAAAAACAAAACAAATCAAACCAAACCAAAACAAAAATGACTGTTTTATTACACTCTTCCTGTATTTTTTTGAGTTTATGATTAGACTCAAGGAATAAATATTTGAAACGAGTCATTTTTAATATGTATAATAAGTACAAGTGAAATTCTGAATGTAGAAAAAGCCAATAAACAAGAAAATTATTGCAAAGGATGACCTTAGAGTTCATCTAGTTCAAATGAAAAAACTCAAAAATTGGAGAGGCGTGGTGGCTCCTGCCTGTAATCGCAGCACTTTGGGAGGCTGAGGCGGGAGGATAACGAGGTCAGGAGATCGAGACCATCCTGGCTAACACAGTGAAACCCCGTCTTTACTAAAAATACAAAAAAATTAGCCAGGCGAGGTGGCGGGCACCTGTAGTCCCAGCTACTCAGGAGGCTGAGGCAGGAGAATGACGTGAACCCGGGAGGTGGAGCTTGCAGTGAGCTGAGATCGCACCACTGCACTCCATCCTGGGCAACAGAGTGAGACTCTGTCTCAAAAAAAAAAAAAAAAAAAAGAAAGAAAGAAAAGACGCAAAAATTGTGCTAATTTTCAATGTGTCAGAAATTCTTTTCTAATGTCTCAGTGTTTAACCTAAAAATAGAAAAATAACATGGTATAAGAACTCAAACTTTATTAAGCAAAATATTTAAGAATGAGATATAAGAAGTAATTAGTATAATATCTAAATAATTCTGTAAAAAGGAAATATTTCAATACTCTATTTTTATAATTGACTTTGCTGCTTTTCCTGCAGTTCCTCTCACTGATAGTTCAAGGATTGCTGAGTTGCTTTCCTGGTAATCATATAAACCTGAGTGCATCTCAGACCCAGAGTGCCTGCTTGTTTCAATACCTATTACTGTCTTCTCACCTACAATGCTCCTAAATATTTTTAACTAATACAGTAGCATGTTAATTTTGGAATTTAGTACACCTTTTTTATAAAAGAAATCAGTTGCTATGTAGTTAAACACTACTCTTTTATGTTAGATTTTTTTGAATTTCACAAGATAAAAATTAAAATTTCACAAACAATAGTCTTATTTTAACTTTTTAAATATGCTAGTATTCATGTCTCTTATTTCTATTAATTAATGCTGTATATACTCTAATTATTTATACCTTTGAAAGGAACAAAGACAGCATAATGGCATATTAATACAAAATCACTTTATTTCATAATATCTTGAAACATTTAAATAATAACAAATATATTTTATATTTCTTCAAGATATTCATTGCTATATATCGTCAGTACCAACCATATGTAATATATGAGCAATCTAGAAACCATTTAATGTAAATATTTAGAATAAGAAACCCTTGAGTGTGCTCTTGTTTGGATTACAAAACCAGCAGTATTATACCACTCTAATAACGGAACAAAAAATAATTTACTATACTCATTTGTCAGTTTTTCATATCAGACTGAATAAGAGAAAAAATATACGAACAAAAATGCGAATATGAACAAATAGAAAGTGAAAAATAAAAAGAAAAATGCACTACTTTAACACAACTTAAAAGAGAAAAGCAAAATACATTTTAAATGGAATATACATAAATAAGATAGAAGGAATAAATTCAATGTTTGATAGTAGAGTAGGATAACTACACTTCACGAAATTGTATTGTACCCAGGTGATGGACACTGAATATCCTGGCTTGGTCACTACAAATTGGATACATGTAACAAAATTTCTCTTGATCCCATACATTTGCACAAACAAAAACAAAGAAATAAATGTTAAACATTTAAAAACTGGTGCCATTTATGAACAAATATGCATTTGAGCATTCCTATTTATTTTCTTCCTTCTGTAGGTTTTGTTCAGTTAAAAAATGTCAATAACAAAGGAACATTATCAAACTAATCATAAGGATTCCAAAAGCAGGAAATTTTATAAAATATATCTAGTTCAAAGTAAAGCCAGAGAAGGAATTAAGTATTATTGCAGAGGCATGCGGGTCTTTGCTTCAAAATGATAGAAAGACATTGAGTAAGTATACAGAAAGGGAGTTGAAAAACACACTGAAATAATGACATTTATTTAAAATATTTAGATTAGTGTTGGGTGTGGGTAAAAAACTACTTTTGGGATTCTGGTAATATTCTTTTAATCAAACTAATTCATTAGTGTAGTGATCCAAGTGGTTGTGACAGTTCAAACAAGTGGGCTAATAAATGGTGCAATATGTGAAGTATAGGCTACAGCTCAAGCATTGGAAGGACACACTGCAAGCACATGGTTTTCTGTGGGATGAATTGTATGTGTACAGGCAGTGAGATATAAATGGTTTTATTATTCCCATTCTCAGAATCCTTAGGTTAAAGTCAAAAAAAAGGCTGGAATTGAGTGGAACTGATAGTATCCCTATAAACTTTATACAATTAATCAGAGAGGAGGCAGGGAGAGAAACAAAAATAAACCAAGCTGGTAGCACTCTCAGTTAATCATTATGTAACCCTGTGACCTCTTCCTCATAGTTGTTTGTCTATTGCCTCAGAATCACATAGTCCCTGTTACAAGATTATCATACCCCTTAACTGCTCTATAGACAACGATTTGAATATTATGAAACATTAAGTTTTCCCTCTGAGATATTCTTTAAAGCAGATCCTGCACACCGATGAAACTACTGATGCCAACAGCTCTGAAAGACCCCATTGACACCAGCTAGTCTGAAGGATCCCAGAAGAAACTGACTCACCAAAGAATGCAGTTTCCACATTCTGATAATTTTATCCCCTTTTCCCTGACCAATCAATTACCCCAATTTTCCAGGCCCTTGTACTCTATGACATTCTTAAAAATCCAAGCCCAGGACTCCTTTGGGACATGGATTTGAGGCTTTTCTTTCATCTCCTTGCTCCACACCCTGTGATCATTAAACTTTTTCTAATACAAACCCTGCTGTCTCAGTGTATTAGTCTGTTAATGAAAAGCAGGCATATATACCTGTTGGTCCTAAAATAGAACCACTTAAAATTTTTAATTAGCTGTGGTTTTCCCTCCTATATCAATGACTATAGAGTTTCTCTGGACGTATCTTCACACTAATATGCCTGCTGACAAAAACCAGATGAAGAAGTTGCAATCCAATAGGCAGGTTACCAAGGAGTGAAATACTTCGGGGGTGATGGGCTGCATATCCTTATCAGATCAAGAACACCGGCCAGCTGTGGTGATGGTAAAAATCAAAGGGAACAAAGAATGAATTTCAGAGAAAAGAATTTTCTCAAAAAGACCTGACAAATAAAAAAAGGAAATATTAATTTTATTTACTAATAAAAAATATAACTTCATTTCTATTTTCTCTACTATTTAACATAGGGTATCATCGTGCTGGTTATATCTGTGGTTTAATCTCAAAATGTCTTGTGATTAATTATAAAACTTGAGATGGAAAGGATGTCATCCAGAGATATAGGATTTAAAGCTATAATTGATGGAATTAAAGTTATTTCCTCTGGGAAAGACAAATGTATATGAGACATAATTAGTTGTATGAGGCATAATTACCATATGTATGCTAGGAACATTTTCAGAAGACTAATTGTGTGATAAAAGACATTTCTGGTTATTGGACACCTGAGTAGAGCTGTTTGCATAGGAGAGATCATCAATGTTTCAGGTACACAATATGCAAATACCTTTCTATTTGGAGGCCATGAAACAAAGCCTCAGGGATAGTTGATTAATTATTCACAGTAGCTGTGGGAGCACTGAGATTCCACCTGTAGCAATACAATTGAGAATCCATCAGAGGCAAGCACTCAGTGGAGACAGTGCTCTATAGAATACCAAATGGGTATTTCCTGTGTTCCCTGCCTCTTAGCCTTCCTTTCTTTTTGTCCATTTAGAGCTGTCTAGAATTCAACTACTTCAAGCTGCAAAAACATCTTATGTCATTGTACATTCATCTGATTATATGTCAGTTGCTTAACACCAAGAAATCTGACACTCCGTAGCTGTTATGGTTATTTTTAATAGTAGTAGAATAATGTATTATTATTGAATTCAATAAAAATTGAAATCAATACATGAATTTGCATTTTGTGTGCACACAAAATAATGTTATTCTTTGTGAAAATATGTACCATGTACATATCATAATGCAAACTGTGTTTGCTTTCCTTGACAGGACTTTTGAGCTGTGATATTCAAATCACTGAACATGATATGGGTAAAATGAAAGCTTTTATCCTCATTCTTTAGTAAATATACTGCATAATTTACCTGGACAGTGGTCTCACTGTTTAGAGAATCATAATATACTGCATTTGCTCCAGTATGCCATAGTGAATAAAAACAACAGAAAGAATTACGGAACCTAAAACAAGCAGACAAATCACATAACTAAGAGGAAACTTCAGGACCTTAGACAAAAGGCACTTCAGGCTTAACAATAGGGCAGAAATGTTGCAGAAAATTTTAGAGTAATATCCATTGTCATAAAAATAACTTAGTGGTTGTATAAGTCCATTCTGTGTATGTACCATGATTCAGTTGACCACTCCTTGATTAACATGCATACTTAACATTGTTTCCTTTGCTATTAGTAGCAGTAGTATAGCAATGTGATCAATATTTTTGTACACAAAGACTTCTTTAAATAAAAATATTTTAAAGGGAAAATTTTGGTTATTCCTACTATTTACTTAGATCAAGTTTTTGTTTTCTTTTTTAGCGTTATGATATTTTTCAATATTTTCTTTAAATTATATATCAATGCCTTGTTCTCTGCCTTTCCAAGAACAATAAAACACTTCAAAATTTAGTGTTTTATTTATTTAGCTAGACTTTTCAGAAGAATATTAGATAATTCTGCCAGTTGAAGGCATAAGCCTGTTTTTAAAAAATAATCCCTGTTATTTCTTATAACAAGGACTCTGTAGGATGGGATTAGACATTCTGAGTTCTTCAGAATTATGTAATTTTAGAAGCTATGATGCCTGTTTGGCAGAAGTTTTAGGTATTTGACCAGCCATATATTTTCCTTTCCAAATTGGATCAAAATGTATTTCTGGATTTGATTTAGTCTGCTCCCAAACTGCCACAACAAAACTGCATCAAAGCTCTCTGACACCAAAGACATTTGCCTTTAACATTGCTTTAGATTTGCCATCTTTCTTTTTGAATGTCAACTACCCAGATTTTGACATGATTCCTAGAACTTAAGTATGGTATCATGAAGAAGAAACACCTTTTCTTCCTCAGGAAACTTCTAGATTTATTAAAGTTAGTACTGTTTTAAAATATTCTATAAAACATTTGCTACAAATAAAATCTCCATGAAAAGATGTTGCATTTTTGTTTTCTGTGTTCAACAGTCAAAAGATGTTCTTGGAATAGAAGGAGTCCAGTAGGCTTCTTAAAGCAATAGATAAACCTCCAGAGCTTAGCAAATTTGTTATATTTTATAAACCAGCTCTTGAGGTCACTTTAATTTCAATGACAACAAAATGTGATATGACTCTAAATCTTTCTATCTAATAAAGGAAGAAGATCTTTCAGGAAATATTCACAATGCCACCAAAAAAATGAAACTATTGAGATTTAACTTTTTGTAAGCATTTAATTAGTAAATTCACATCATCTTATATCAAGTACAATATTAAGAGCAACCCGCCCCCTCTTTCTTATTAATGAGAACTTGGAGCTATGTCCGAGAGTTCATTCCTTGACTTTATGCACCGAGCTGAACATTAAATAATGTGGATCTTAGCTCTGCCTTTCCTTGGGAGTTCATGTCAAAATTCTAATATTTCAGCAAGGACATTTTAAACAATAGAAGGAAGATATTTATGTTTATTCTCAGCATTTTAATTTGATTATACATGCAGAAGTCAATATTATTTTCAGATATTACAATGATTTTTGTTATAAGATATACTTAATTTAGGATAAATTAATCTATTAAAGTCACTTTTACCCAGCTCAAAACTATTTTTAATGAATATTATGGGCATTTTGATAGAAATAGATATATATCATATAAGTATAATTTGTGTATTTCTACATATGTATAGAACACAAGATTTCAAAAAACATTGTGTATTAAAAATGGGAATAGATTATATTAGCTAAGAACAGACTATAGAAACAGATGAGTTAAGTTTGTGTCCAAGCATTGCATTTAGAAACTCCAGGACTGGACTCCACAGTTCTGTTGTTTGATCTCCTTAGGTATGTATTTTCAGCAATAATTTTATATCTCTAATAATATTGTGGCTTAAACATGATATTATATATAAAATTATTGTCGCAATGCTTGTAACAGAGTGATGTCTTAGTAAATATTATCTATTATAGAGTTTAGTTTGGTTCCTGATGCCTATTTCTTTTAAATATATCCTTCTATGTATTTCAGTCTTTTAAGAAAATAAATACACATTTTAAGCTATTTTTCTTTTTTGTATCAATCATAGCATGAACTGAGAGTGACTTCATTTTTACCTGTAACTTTTTTTAAATAGATTATGCTCAATAATTTAATATTGTTGAATTTTGATTGGCACAGAAAAGACTTTCATGTTTGGAAAATATTGACTTCTTCAATGGTCTGGCGCTCTAAAGAGTTACTTGAAGGAAAATGTTTTTAAAGATTGTAAAATTGTAGATGTTTTTAAGGCTTTTAAGCACTTTATAAGTGAGAACTGTATGCATTATACATTAATTTTGGTGATTTTTACCTTATTTTCTCTGGAATTTCCCTTATTAAAGGTAAAAAATCATCAAACTATTAGTTATTGGCTAACCACTTTTTTAAACACTTGTAAGGATTTTTTGTAACATATCCACTTTTTGTTTCAATTCTATTTTTATAAAAGCAAACATAAAACATAAAACAAAATTTATCCCGTTAAATTGAGCAAAATAAATTTCAGTACTTGTTCTCTAGTCCTCAGCTGCTCCATGATACCTGTTTTGTTTGCTTTTTCTGTGAATCTCCTGTATAATCTTTTTTTTTTTCTTATGCCCTACTGATACAGCGTGGAATTGCTTTCCCCAGTCTTAATTCTGATTTGCCTTGGATTCATCGATTTTTCATGTATTCTGCCTTCCCCTTTAATGCTGCTATTAATACTTCCTTGAGTTACTTTCATGCCAGGTAACATGTATTGATGGTTTATTGTAAGCTACCTATGTACTATCACAAAATCCAATTAAATGTGTGGTCATTTACTCTCCAAAGTCCCTTTTCTGTATCAGTTCATGACAAATTGTGCATCGTTCTTTCAAAAGCACTTATTTTTTTCTCTGCCTGGAGGAATTCTAATACAATCATTAACCTACAAGTTAGGGATTGCTGCTATATTCTTTATAAGTTGCTATAGTGAGCTGAGTCTATATGCCCTAAATACTGCCATAATGTGATTTTTGGAGCAGTTTTATTTTTTGATCGAACTTATAGGTAACTATCTTACTTTCCTAGTCAATTTTAATTATTTGACATTGTATCACCATGAAGCAAAAACAGCAGAAACAAAATTTACCCTAAATATTGATTTCAGCTGTCACAGAAATAGAAGCCACATCTAAAAGGAGTACTACTGTTCTTTCTGGTTGAAATATTTTCAAGAAATCTATCTTGGTGACAAAATTGCGATAGAACTAGAGTCTTTGTTTGGGACTATTACTGAAAGCTGAGGGCTAAATGAATGCAAGTCTATGGCAAAATTAGGAAGTCAAAAACTACCTCATGATATAACTTGACATTCACTCTCTGTCATCTCTCAACATGATTAAAAACTCTAAATCCTCATAAACCGGTAGATTATGGTTCAGTATAAATATATGCCAAAAGGATACTGAAGGATGTATTTATATGTTATTTGTAAGTACAATCATTTTTAAACTTACAAATATGTAATAGTAAATTATCCAAATGTGTAGAAAGACATATCTAAATATTGTCATAATCTGTACTTACATATACAAATAAAAAACATATGTGTTTATCTAAATAAAATCACGATTTGTATTTTCGGCTTTGGTACCACATTTCTTGAATATTCACTTAACCTGAAAACTATTTTGGGCTGGGGACGAATGAACCTTTTTGCCTTCTGTTTTCCTTTGGGTTCTATTTTACTTTGATCTTGGCAATCCAAAAGAAGATATCTTTGCTTTTCAAGTAAATTTTGCACCAGATTCATCTTACCATACAGACAACAAGAGATAAGTAATACAAAATGAAGACAAAGTGGGTGAGGTAATAGTAAACAAGAAGGCCGCATCACTAAAATGTTACTATGCAAAAGACATTTCTGTTTATGTATAATTTAAAATAAATTAGCCCTAGACCATCCAATGAAAACCCTGTTTCCCAGAGTTACTTAGTGTAGCATCTTTTATCCTAACTCCTGGGAACCACTTTTCAACCGTATTTGTACTATAGTTAGATTCATTTGTTATGGTCTTCATTTCACCTTGAGATACTCCAAAATATTGGCAGATTTTTTTAAAAATTTGCAAAGAATTAAATTCATTACTTGTGTTATAGAGATTTATGGGTTTTGGTAAATGCTTACACTACCACCCTCGCAGTGCTACACAGAAACATTCAATCACTGTAAAAATGCCCCTGTACAGCCCCTGGCAGTGAATTCCTTGACCCTTCTCCAACTCCTGACAGATAGATATATTTTCTATCCCAGTGATTTTGGTATTTGCATAGTGGTGTCTCATGTCTTTTAATTTGCATTTCTCTAATGACTAATAATCTTTATCATCTTTTCACATGCTTATTTGCCATCCATATGACTTCTTTTACTAACTGCCTGTTCACATCTTTTTTTTTCCGTTTATTAATTGGGTTGTTATATGTCTTATGGATGTATTTAAGAGCTCTCTATAAATTCTGGATACAAATTTTTTATCAGACATGGGACTTGCAAATGTTTTCTCCCCATCTGAGGCTTGTCTTTGAAGTTCTTTCACAATATATTCCAATTCATCTGATTTTTTTTCCTCTCTCTCTTGGATGGTACTTTTAGTGTTATATATAGAAACTCATCACTAAAGCCAATGTCGTGTATATTGTTATGTTTATTTTCTTCTAGAAATACAAACGTTGTATATTCTGCATGTAGATCTAAGATATATGTTATGTATTGTTATGAATGAACTGTGTCCCCCCAAAATCATATGTTGAAACCCTAATCCCCAGTACATAAGAATGGAATGTATTTGGAGATAAGGACTTTAAACAAGTAATTGGTTAAAATGAGGCCCTTAGCGTGGGTCCTAATCTAATCTGGCTGGTATCCATATGGAAAATAGAAATTTGGACACACAAGAGACACCAGGGATGTGCATGCACAGTGGCACAACCATGTGAGAAGGCAGCTAGAGGGGGTCTATCTGCAAGTAAAGGAGAGAAGACTCAGGAGAAACCAGGTCTGTTGACACTTTAATTGTGGACTTCCAGAAATGTAAGAAAATAAATTTCTGTTGTTGAAGCCATCTAACCCACAGTATTTGGTTAAGGCAACCTCAGCAAACAAATACATATACTCTATGCAAACAAGTTTTATACAAGTTGTAAGATATATGTTGAGATTGATAGTTTTTGCATATGGACATCCAATTGTTCCAACAAAATTTATTGCAAAGAAAATCCTTTCTTCATGAAACTGACTTTGAACTTTTATCAAAAATCAGTTGCCTATATAAAGGTATATTTTTGAGTTCTCCTTTTGGTTGTTTCTTTTTCAACTTTTATTTTAGATTCAGGGAGCACATGTGCAGGTTGGTTATATGGGTATACTGTGTGATGCTGAGGTTTGGGGTAAAATCGATCCTGTCACCCAGGTAGTGAGCATAATACCCACTACATTGTTTTTCTTTTTTTCTTTTTTTTTAATTATTATTCTTATTATACTTTAAGTTTTAGGGTACATGTGCACAATGTGCAGGTTAGTTACATATATATACATGTGCCATGCTGGTGTGCTGCACTCATTAACTCGTCATTTAGCATTAGGTATATCTCCTAAAGCTATCCCTCCCCCCTCCCCCCACCCCACAACAGTCCCCAGAGTGTGATGTTCCCCTTCCTGTGTCCATGTGTTCTCATTGTTCAATTCCCACATATAAGTGAGAAGATGCAGTGTTTGGTTTTTTGTTCTTGCAATAGTTTACTGAGAATGATGATTTCCAATTTCATCCATGTCCCTGCAAAGGACATGAACTCATCATTTTTTATGGCTTCATAGTATTCCATGGTGTATATGTGCCACGTTTTCTTAATCCAGTCTACCATTGTTGGACATTTGGGTTGGTTCCAAGTCTTTGCTATTGTGAATGGTGCCACAATAAACATACATGTGCATGTGTCTTTATAGCAGCATGATTTATAGTCCTTTGGGTATATACCCAGTAATGGGATGGCTGGGTCAAATGGTATTTCTAGTTCTAGATCCCTGAGGAATCGCCACACTGACTTCCACAATGGTTGAACTAGTTTACAGTCCCACCAACAGTGTAAAAGTGTTCCTATTTCTCCACATCCTCTCCAGCACCTGTTGTTTCCTGACTTTTTAATGATTGCCATTCTAACTGGTGTGAGATGGTATGTCATTGTGGTTTTGATTTGCATTTCTCTGATGGCCAGTGATGGTGAGCATTTTTTCATGTGTTTTTTGGCTGCATAAGTGTCTTCTTTTGAGAAGTGTCTGTTCATGTCCTTTGCCCACATTTTGATGGGGTTGTTTGTTTTTTTCTTGTAAATTTGTTTGAGTTCATTGTAGATTCTGGATATTAGCCCTTTGTCAGATGAGTAGGTTGCAAAAATTTTCTCCCATTTTGTAGGTTGTCTGTTCACCCTGATGGTAGTTTCTTTTGCTGTGCAGAAGCTCTTTAGTTTAATTAGATCCCATTTGTCAATTTTGGCTTTTGTTGCCATTGCTTTTGGTGTTTTAGACATGAAGTCCTTGCCCATGCCTATGTCCTGAATGATAATGCCTAGGTTTTCTTCCAGGGTTTTAAAATCACAAGCATTCTTATACACCAATAACAGACAAACAGAGAGCCAAATCATGAGTGAACTCCCATTCACAATTGCTTCAAAGAGAATAAAATACCTAGGAATCCAACTTACAAGGGATGTGAAGGACCTCTTCAAGGAGAACTACAAACCACTGCTCAATGAAATAAAAGAGGATACAAAGAAATGGAAGAACATTCCGTGCTCATGGGTAGGAAGAATCAATATCATGAAAATGGCCATACTGCCCAAGGTAATTTACAGATTCAATGCCATCCCCATCAAGCTACCAATGACTTTCTTCACAAAATTGGAAAAAACTACTTTAAAGTTCATATGGAACCGAAAAAGAGCCCACATCACCAAGTCAATCCTAAGCCAAAAGAACAAAGCTGGAGGCATCACACTACCTGACTTCAAACTATACTACAAGGCTACAGTAACCAAAACAGCATGGTACTGGTACCAAAACAGAGATATAGATCAATGAAACAGAACAGAGCCCTCAGAAATAATGCCACATATCTACAACTATCTGATCTTTGACAAACCTGAGAAAAACGAGCAATAGGGAAAGGATTCCCTATTTAATAAATGGTGCTGGGAAAACTGGCTAACCATATGTAGAAAGCTGAAACTGGATCACTTCCTTACACCTTATACAAAAATTAATTCAAGATGGATTAAAGACTTAAACGTTAGACCTAAAACCATAAAAACCCTAGAAGAAAACCTAGGCATTACATTGTTTTTCAACCCTTGCCTCCCCCACTTGTCCCCTCTAGTAGTCCTCAGTATCTATTAAACTTTCCTTTGTTTCCATTAATATTTTTGTCCTTTTGCCAATACCACACTATTTTTATTACTATATCATTATGATAATTTTGAAATTGATTTATGTGAATCCTTCAACTTTGTTCTTCAAACTGAAAATTATCTTGGTTATTCTAGTGACTTTTCATATAAATGTTAAATCCTGCTTGTTAACATCTGTAAAAATATTAGTAAGATTTTGATTGTGTCTTGATATCTATAGATCAAACTGGAGAAATGTTAATACCTTAGCAATATTGCATCCTACAGTTAATATGGGTATAAGATATTTAAAATTATCTAAGTGGTTTGTATTATATTTTCATCTTTCATTGATCTAGAATCTCAGAATGCAGGTTTAGTTTCTGGCTAAGGGCTAATCTTTGAGAATTCTTTTACAAAAGAAAAGAAATACATATTTTGTGAGTAGATTATTTTAATATGTCTACATAATAATCAGGTTATCAGTATTTGGACAGTTTTAATATTCTTTTCCAGCATTTATGGAAATCATGCCTAAGAAAATTGATGAAGAATAAATAATTTTGTCAGAAACCATGTCAAAATTTGCCATCAACCATTGGTGTGAAATATCTCATCACAATGAAAAGCGGTGATTACAAATCTACTGATGAACTATTAGCATTTATTTTAAAATTATTTATTCAAGTTTGATGTTTATCAAATGATCGCAATTGTTTACTTTGTCTTGACCAAACTTTAGTAGGCTTCTTTCCTGCTCATAGATCCTTGAACTTCAGGTTGCCCCAAGCCTGAGCAAGCAATAAAATAAGGAGTGTGCCCTCTTAGCTCATCCCCAGAATCTACTATCCAGAGTAGAACACATTCTTGCTGAAGGTTGCCAGTTGTTCAGTCTACATACACACCATCATCTTCCCAGCATCCTCTTTCTCACTACTTACCCTTCCCTGTTACAGGAAAACCTTTGCCGGTTTGATTTTGAGATACTTACAGTTCCTGAGTTAGAAGTGTTCTTCTTATGGGAATCTTCTTTCTATGTAAAGTGCCACATTATGTAATTTGGATTTATTTTTATTTGACAATATAATTGTACCAATGACAAAAATATATGCAGCCCATGGTGTAATAATGTATTATTCATTGACATAAGACTTTTTTAAAAAAGGATACTTTGGGCCAGACACAGTGGCTCGCGCCTGTAATCCCAGCATTTTGGGAGGCCAAGACGAGCGGATCACGAGGTCAGGAGATCGAGACCATCCTGACTAACAAGGTGAAACCCCGTCTCTAACCAAATTACAAAAAAATTATCCGGGGGTGGTGGCGGGCGCCTGTACTCCTAGCTACTCGGGAGGCTGAGGCAGGAGAATGGCGTGAACCTGGGAGGTGGAGCTTGCAGTGAGCCAAGATCATGCCACTACACTCCAGCCTGGGCAACAGAGCAAGACTCCATCTCAAAAAAAAAAAAAAAGACTTTGAAATAGATTATACTCATATTTTATATCCTGATTTACCAGGCTCATGCTAAGAGGTGCTGCTCGTCTTTCATGTTTTGGTTCTGTTTAAAGCAGAATTTCACAAATAATTTAATATTTCTACTTTTATATCACTATAATTACATGACTCACAAACAGTATTTGTTAATTCCATTAATCTTTTTCATTCAAAACATCAATTTAAGTAGAGTGGTAGGAAGTTTTGGCTTTTTTAAATCAAAGAAAATGTTTGACATTAATTTTATGGTTGTTTCAAATTCAGTAAAGTTTAATTTGAAAGAAAGGACATTTGGGTTAAAGTGATGATATACTGGTAAAATTTGGCAGGAAATCACGTTGTGGTAAATAAAAATCTAATAAGAAACAAGATAGCTTATTAGTAAGGTGAGATATCCTGTCATCTGAAATAGAAACTGTGGTTTTCAAAATCCACACATGCATATGTACACCACACACACACAGATATATATTTTAGAACAGAGTTGGCCAACTTTTTCTGTAGAAAGCAAAAATACATAAATGAATGAGCATGGATATATTTCAATAAAAATGTATTTGCATACACTGATTTTAAACTTTATATACTTGTAAATGTCACAAAATATTTTTTTCCATTTCAAATGATTTTAAAATGTAAAAACCATTTTTAGCTCATGGGCTGCACTAAAACAGGTGGTGGGCCAGATTTGGTATGTAGGTCTACTTTTTTGGATTCCTAATTTGAAGAAATGAAAATACAAAATTTCTGTGATGAAGCTGGTATTAAATATATTTTAAGAAATAATTTAGCGTGGCAATATGCACTATATTTTCTATCTTAGAATGGATTTCTAATTTAAAGAATTAATATTTGAATCAACAAATGTGTCCTACATTGGGGTTACCAAATAAAATATAGGAGGCATGGTTAAATCTCAATTTAGATTAAAAAATACTTTTTACACTACTTACAACCTAAACATTACACAGGTCATACTGTTAGTAAAAAAAAAATATCGTTTTATAAGAAGTTGAAATTTAACTGGGTGCATTATTTTTCCTTCTAAATCTAGCAACTTTACCTGCAACTGTATTTAAAATGTAAAGTAATTGTGTTTACATTTTGGTTAGATCTTGCTAAAAATCCGCTGGAAATCCCTCAAGTTATTGAACAGATAGAGCGCAAAAATACTTCAGACTTGAAAGCTTTTTATGAACTTTTATTATTGAAAGCAAAGTTTGCCAATATGAGGTCTTCATAATTTTTCCTTATAATAGCAAGCTGGTAACTGCAAGCCATTAAAATATGAGATTCCAAAGACATAAAATATTTAATATAAATAACTACAACTAAACATGGAATTAATCTTTTAATGAAGTTTCTATTTTTAATTGGAAATTTATATTCTATAAAACAATGAAATGAAATTGAAAGGACCTGTAATTTTATAGCATTTACTTTTGGTAAACATTCAAAAAATGATAAATAAAGACAACTTATGTGATGAGTTTTGACTTACAATGTGTTTCATCAAACAAATGCTCATACAATGTGTTTCATACTCATAGTTCATACAAAATGCTCATACAATATGTTTCATCAAACAAGTGAAAAACTCAGTAACCATTTAAATATTTAGGCCAAAGTAGTTATACACTTCTGTATAACAATTAGAATTGAGAGTATCCTCCATCTAGTAGAAGTTTTTCTGAATATATCAGTACCTGAACACCTAAGAGACAAAAAGTATTTTCTCAAAGCTATAATGGTACATGAATAAATTAAAGTTGAAAATGAAAACAATTTAAATTAATCATGCAATGCAACTTAAAAGAACATTGAGGTGAGGTTATGGTAACAACAAAATTATAAACCTATATTGAATGAAAAATACACATTTTTATGATAATGCCAGTATAAAATATAAAAATGATTTTAGGAAGAAATTTGTCTAAGAAGCTGAAAAGAAATGTATGAATATGTACCAAGAATAACTACCTTCTTATGTTACTCTTAATATTCAGAAAATCAATATTAATATTATTTTAATTATCCATAAGGTACATATATATATACATGAATATATAATATGTGTATAAATATGTTATTTTATGACCAAATTTCTTGTGTGGAAACAGTTTTTGAAATGGACCATTTTGCTTAATAGAGTTAATTTATTTGTGTTTAAATACATGTTTATAAATTAATATAACTGTAATTATTTTAATGTTCATCTACCCCAAAAAACAAAAAGCCATCCTGGTTTGAATAGTAAATCACATGGCTGCCCTAATTTTTAATCCTTACCTCTTCTGCATGACATCTTTCACCAGGATGGACCTGGTCTTTCTCAGTACTACTATCCAGTACATAGTTCTATTATTTTTGTGTAACCATGCATTTTATTTACCTATATGACAGATTTTTTTCATATTTTTATTTCTGGTTCCTAAAATACCATATGTAGAATTGCTCAGTAAATGCTTTATGTACTGAATTAAAGTCATAGCTCTAGAAATAAAAGTAAGACTATATTTTCATTTTCATTGCAAATTTATTTTGTATTTACATTTCAGGTTTTGGGTTACACATTTTTGGTTTGGGTGCAATAGTGAGCATAAAATGTTGGAGGTTTATTAAATATCATTTTTCTTGTGTTTTCCTACATAGAAAAAAATTAAAAATTTGGGTTGTCAGAAATGGTTATATACCTTGTGATACGCCGGGTTAGCCCCATGCAACAAAAAATATGAGGTGATTTTTCTTTTTCTTTTTTATTTTTCTGAGACAGAGTCTTGCTCTGTCGCCCAGACTGGAGTGCAGTGACGCCATTTCGGCTTACTGCAAACTCCGCCTCCCGGGTTCACGCCATTCTCCTGCCTCAGCCTCCCGAGTAGCTGGGACTACAGGCGCCAGCCGCCACGCCTGGCTAATTTTTGTATTTTTTAGTAGAGATGGAGTTTCACAGTGTTAGGCAGGATGGTCTAGATCTCCTGACATTTCGTGATCCGCCCGCCTCGGCCTCCCAAAGTGCTGGGATTACAGGCTTGAGCCACCGCACCCGGCCGAGGTGATTTTTCTTTTAACTTACCATTTCAAGGAATGGAGAAGCTTCTGCTGTATTTATTTAGGAATACTCTGTGTACTTGCAAAAAGTATTTGGATCAATTTCTATAAAGGTCTTACTTTAAAAATTGTATTTGTATTGGCAATGTGGTGAGGTAGATATGAGCAAAAAACGTTGATAACATCTTGCTACTTTGCTTTCAGTTAATGTTTTCCTTGTATAGTTTCATATTTTATTCTGGAGTTCATGAATATACAGACTTATGAAATTTATTGTTGTAATTTTGTGAATTAATTATTGGTTCACAATCCTAATTTTTTAATATCAAATGAGATAGCTCAGCTGTTTACTATCATTCGTGACATGAAACCATAATAATATTTTAAAATGTATATATAATGTTTGTTACAAGAGAAAGAAAACTTTAAAGAACATTAAGAAATTAATCATCTAGTAAGAAAATCCATATAACTACAAAAGCTTTAATTAGTCCACAGTTCTAAGAACATACAAATATTATACATATACATACAGAGTATAATTTTTTCCATGATTGTCTAGTTTCTGAAAATTAGTATTTCTAATATATGCCTATTTAAATGGAAAAGATGATAAAAGAGTAATATCATTAGAAAAGTCTCTTTATCCTCATTTTTAAATGTTTATTTAGTAGTTTTAACTGAAATACACCAGAACTTAATTACACAAGATAGTAATTATATGTAACAATAGCATTTCATTTATTTATGTACAGTTATAAAATACACTATTATAGTACATTATTTTATTCTCAAAACAACAATGTATATAAGTAATATTTTATCCTTATTTTGTAGATGAGAAAACTGAGGCAGAAAAATTGTTCCTAAAACTACAAAGATTCTAATTGGAGATGATAGAACTTGATTCTAGTGTTTTTCTCAAATGCTTTATTGCTTCAAGATGAGAAGCAGTTTTAAAAATATATACTAGAATTGTATAGTAATTTTCCAGAGAACTTAAGAGGGCTACTAATCTTTAAATAACTATGAGAACAATGAAATCTTGATACATTTCTCTTGAGGTTTAACAAATGATTTTAAAAGTACTTAAATTATCAGGTTAAAAAAAAGCAGTTAACCTAATATCAATAAATCAAACATCCTGTTTTACATTACTTATAAGGATGTAAAGTTTGATATTACAGAATTAATAAAATATATTCACCATGTTAATAATTAAGGAAAAGTAATAGCATAATGTCATGTTGATAGAAGCAGAAAATAGCTTTGAACAAATTAAAATGCTTTCATAATAAAAATTCTTACCACATATCAAAGAAGAAAACTTACTTAACGTAATGAAGGGTATTTACAAAAACCTTCAGTAAACATCACAGTAAAATACTAAGAATTTCATTAAAACCTGAACAATAGAAAAGATAACAACAACTTTGTAATAAAAGATATTGTGGAGTACATAATGAAAAATCAATAATGGGTATAAAGTGTTTAATAAGAAAAAGCATGAATATTGGCAGTTTATATTATCTCCTACAAAGAAAACTCAAAATACCTACATTAAATATAAATTAAATGCAAAAATAAATTACATTTATATAAACCAGCAATAGTCATTTAGAAAATATTCTTTAATAGAGGATGTCACTTATAATTTTAATAAAAATATAAAATGCATAGGCATAAATTCAATAATAAATTTAAGAAAGGTATCCAGAGAATTATAAAACTATACTGAAAGAAAATAACACCTGAATAATTTAAAATATATAAAAATTTCATGGCTACTATGAAGTCTCAATATCATTTAGATATTAACTATACTCATATTTATGTTTACATTCCAGGCAATCCTAATAAATATTATAATCGTTTTTATTTGTTTTGTGCTTGTTTAGTTTGGTATTGGTTTCTTGTTTATATTAAATTTGAAAAACTAATTCTTTTATTTATAAGTGAAATTTCAAGACTAAATATAAAATAATGGGAGACAATTATAATTGGGGGACTTGTGCAACTGGACAAGATCACATTATAGTAATTAATAGACTATGCACTTGCCACAGAAATTATAGATTCCCATATTTGGTCTACTTACTAGAATATCCCACCACTTACTGCTGTAGAAAGTATGCGAGCACATGAACAGAATTGTAGAAAAAATGAAGAATTCATTTGGGACATCCTGAGTTTGTGAAACCCATGCAACAATAAATTATATATCCATTAATCAGTTTTATATGAGTCTAAATTATTAGAGGCTAAGGTTTGGTCGGCATCAGCAGCAATAAGATTGTACTCAAAGTCATACATGTGAAAAAGTTAACCTAAGAGAATGCAGACACATACATGAGAGTGAATGAACAAAAAGAAAGCATGTTAAAGTTACAACCTTTAAACGCACAAGCATCTAAGTTGTTGTTTTAGTTTACTAGGTCTGCTGTAACAAAATAACACAGACTGGGTAGTTTAAACAACGTAAAAATACTTCCTCACAATTACGGAAGCCTGGAAGTTTAAGATCAAGGTGTTGGCATTGGCAAGCTAAGTTCTTCTGTGGCCCCTTTCCTTGGCTTGAGGATGGCCTCCTTCTAGTTGTGTCCTCACATAGGTTGA
The DNA here is from genome assembly GCF_000001405.40 of Homo sapiens. Lineage (NCBI taxonomy): Eukaryota > Metazoa > Chordata > Mammalia > Primates > Hominidae > Homo > Homo sapiens. The sequence goes on from NC_000009.12 coordinate 30,645,841, forward strand.
CCCACTGTGTATCCTAATTGCCTTTTCTGATAAATCATACTGGATTAGGGTCTATTCTAAAGACATTTTAAATTAATGACCTCTTTAAAGGTCCTATGTCCAAAGACAGTCAAAGTCTGACGTTTTGGAATACAATTCAACATATGAAGTTTTGGGGGGACATATGTCAAGATATAACAATCGTGAATAAAGTGAGATTAGTCTGGAATGAACTATTTTCAAATGGTAGATTGCATATCCATAGTGTTAGCCTATTATGTGCATAAACACATGATTTTAGCAGAGAGGATTTTACTTTGTCTATACGCTGTGTTCACAGCAATATCCAAAGAAGGAAGAAAACAAAGAAAGGAAGCAAGGAAGGAAAGAAGCTAGGAAGGAAGGAAGAAGTAGAGACAGAGAGAGGGAGAAAGAAAGAAAGAAAGAAAGGAAAGTCCCATTCAATAAGAGATACAATAAAATAACATTATAATGTCTCTTCGATTTTAAAAATATATCTATATCGGGGGAACCAGCCCCCGATATTTCAACGTGGGTTCTTTTCTATTTTCCCTGAGTGTCGGTTGGTCTGAGAAATAAAGGGAAAGAATACAAAACAGAGAAATTTTAAAGCTGGGTGTCCAAGGGAGACATCATATGTCAGCAGGTTCCGTGATGCCCCCAAGCCACAAAACCAGCAAGTTTTTATTATGGATTTGAAAAGGAGGGAGTGTATGAATAGGGTGTGGGTCACAGAGGTTGTATGCTTCACAAGGCAATAAAATATCACAAGGCAAATGGGGGCAGAGCGAGATCATGGGACCAGGATGAAATTAAAATTGCTAATTAACTTTCATGTCCCACTGGGCACGCATTGTCATTGATAACATCTTATCAGGTGACAGGGTTTGAGAGCAGACAACCGGTCTGACTAAAATTTACTAGGCAGGAATTTCCTGATCCTATAGGCCTGGGGGCCCTACGGTAGACTGGGGCTTGTTTCATCCCTTGTTTACAACCGTATAAGACAGACATTCCTAGAGTGGCCATTTTAGAGACCTCCCTCTGGGAATGCATTCTTTCTCAGGGCTGTTCCTTGCTGAGAAAAAGAATTCAGCGATATTTCTCCTATTCGCTTTTGTAAGAAGAGAAATATGACTCTGTTCCACCTGGCACCTCAGGCAGTCAGGCCCAATGGTTATCTCCCTTTTTCCCTGAACATCGCTGTTATCCTGTTCTTTTTTCAAGGTGCCCAGATTTCATATTGTTTAAACACACATGCTTTATGAACAATTTGTGCAGTTAACACAATCATCACAGGGTCCTGAGGCGACATACATCCTCAGCTTATGAAGATGATGGGATTAATAGATTAAAGACAGACATAGGAAATCACAAGAGTATTGATTGGGGAAGTGATAAATGTCCATGGAATCTTCACAATTTATGTTCAGAGATTGTAGTAAAGACAGGTATAAGAAATTATAAAAGTATTAATTTGGGGAATGAATAAATGTCCATGAAATCTTCACAATTTATGTTATTCTGTCACAGCTTCAGCAGGTCCCTCTGTTCAGAATCCCTGATTTCCCGCAACATATCTATATATTTATCTGTATGTTTTTTCCTGATTATCTCCTAAGAGTACTTTAGAAGATTATAATGAAAGTAGCTTTAAATGATCGACTCTTGTATAGTCAAGAATGTTCTGACAAAAAAACAATGTTACCAATGATACTAAAACATCAAACACAATGGAATGAAGAAATGGGACCTACTTAACACGTATTGTCATTTCTATATTCTTTGTGAACAAAGAAAAGAAAATATACGCAAAATAAAATATGTAAATCATCAGGTGAATGTCACTTGTGAATACAGACAAAGGAAAATAGCGTAATTCATATAGTATATTTAGGAATTCATAGAGGTGGTCAGGAACAGTGGGTCACACCTGTAATCCCAGCACTATAAGAGGATGTGGGCTTCAGCCCAAGAGTTCCAGATCAGCCTGGGTGTGCCTAACAAAATCCCGTCTCTACAAAAAATACAAAAATTAGCAAGGTGTGGTAACCGTGGTGGCATGGGGCATGGTGATGCATGCCTGTAGTCCTAGCTACACAGGAGGCTAAGGTGGGAGGATCACTTGAACCTGGGAGTTCAAGGCTGCAGTGAGCCGTGATTGCACCGCTGCACTCCAGCCTGGATGACACAGGAAGAGCATGTCTTGAAAAAACAAAATAAAACAAAAAACTCATAGTGGTTCAGTTAAGTTATACAAATACTTTCACTACATTTTACATTTTCATAGTGATGGTTAATAAATAGTCATAATCATACACACATTGTCACCTTATACATATACACTTAGGTTGCCCCCAAACATAAAGACATGTGTTTCTAGATTTAATATCATAATCCTTCATCTCTATGTGCAATCTCTAGGCTATACAGTAAGTAAAGTACTACACCTTCTATTTTAAAATGAACTAGCTAAACATTTAAACGGTTATCCTGAGATTAATTCACTGTACTGAAGGTATTAATATTAAAATTCTATTAGTTTATCCTATGTGATGTAAATGAAATCAGCTCCTTCTTTAAGGCACTGAGTTTTTTTTTTCCTGTTAATTCTAAATTATATACATACTTTTACATCCTATTACAATTTCTCCAGGTTTCTTTCTGCAAAATATAGAAACATTTTTGCGTATTATCAAATTTCCACTACTTTACCCTACTTTACCTGTTAAAGCAGACTTTAAATTGAAATATACAAAACTTAGTTTCAATTTTCTTTGTGTTCCTTGTCCAAAACACTGTAATTCCTTCAAGCCTTCTAATAAAAATGGCTTCTACTAAACCTCTTCAGCTTGTTACTTTTTGAAAGAAATCAGAGGCTCCATTATTGTGTCAAGTCCATAGGGAAGAACATTTCTTTGGCATAATTAGTTCTCTTCTGCCCTGTGTATATATGGCCCTAAGGATATAATAAATAATATTAACAATTTCCTCTCTGGATCCTGAGGGCTCACTCTCCCAAATTATACCTGGAAATAAATGAATGCAATTTTAGAAAAAAAATGTGTTCTATCTACTCTGTGTGATTGAAAGAAAATAAATTAATTTAAGCAGTATCAGCAGAATAGGCAACCATGACAATTAAAATATCTTCCAATTTTATTTCAAAGCTAATCTAAGAAATATTTTTAGGTGAGATAAATGTCTGAAATACTGTGGATTATTTTTGGATACTGTAAATATGCATTGCCAAACTTAATATATTTGTAACTTATGAGTTTTGCAAATCATTATTTAATTTTTACAGAATTGTAGTTATGTCTTGTCCATTTGGTTAGGTCCATATATTAATTATTTGCTCTCATTAGATATTAGCTATGTGTATAAATGTGTGTGTTGACTTCTATATCTCAGATTCCTTGATAATATTTTATTTATCTTTAAATCTATTACCAGCACGTCAGAAAGTGTCTTATATATAGTAGGCATTAAATGTTCATAGTTTTGATTAAATCATTTTTAAGTTAGTGGAATTATCTCTTTCTTAATTTTTACTGCCTTTGTCTCTTCCCCATTTCTTTTAAGATCAAACTTGAATATTTATATCAGTTCACTAAATCTGAGTTAAGAAGCATACTTCAAAAGGCCATGCATTATTCATGCCTTATTATGTAGGTATGATAATGGTAAGAAAATTTCTGTTATTAAATAGTACTTTGTGATTTGTTAATTATAATTCATGCCTTACTTTAAAAGTCGTCAAATTTTTGTTTTGAGGAAAAGTTTACTTGGTTTACTTAGTATGGTACAAAGTTCTACCTCAGTCTAATTTTTTTCTTTAAATAAATTTAAGCCTATTTTTAAGTTTCAAGGTAAATTTTAATAGGCGATGGAGCATGAAATTCAGTAAGTAAATCTACATGGTATTTTTTGTTCTGTTTTCAAATCATAGTATACCTGGTAAAGAAAATGTTTTCCATAGAAAGAGCAAGACAAGGCTATAAACTCTGTTAACACTTAATTTTTTTTCCTAAAATGTCTGGCTAATGTTTAAGAATGAACTGATTTCAAAATCTAATTTTTTAGAAATAAATTGGGTTATTCACATTTAACTCAAAATAGATTTTATTTATACCTATATATTTCCTAGGGACATCACAATTATTATAACTTTGGAAGAGATATACTTTATAGATACATGAAATTTCATAATAACAATACTAAATTTTCATAGAAAATTCAAGTTTTTCTAAAATGTTTCTAGTCTTCTGAAGAAAATACATGTCTCTCTAATCAAATAAATCACATTACAGTAATCACAACTATCTCCACCACAACCAAATAAAATCCTGGCAGGTTGTGTGCCTCTGTGAAATTTACATATATATTAACAGATCTAGTTGGCATTCTTCATGTGCCAAGATATATGATGTGCAAAACTAATTAATTAAATAAGACATTCTCTTTTTTCCCCTGACCGAACTTTGCTCTAGTTATACTACAAATTAGGTTTCAGACAATAATAATTAGATCATTATTACTATTCAGCTAGTTCCTTATGGCAAAAAGAAAAAAAAAAAAGTTTCCTTATTTAGGCAGAAGAAAGAATGACCAACCAAAGAATGGTCACTATTAATGATTGGAGATGAAGATCAAGAGTCAAAAACACCTTATATGGGTATTTACAGAATGCTAGACACGTTGATAAGAATTTTGCATTTATCGCCTCAATTATTTCATCCTATTTAACTATGAAGAATGTACTAATACTATGACTATTTTACGGGTGGACATACATAAATTAAGGGCACTTTGTCTGCATTGTAAGTAAAAAGAATAGACATGATGCAAACTCACTCTCTCACCTAAGGGCTTCTACTCTTTTTGGTTTTTATTTTGTTTACAATTGACACATAATAAGTCTACATGTTTATGGGGTACAGTGTGATGTTTCAGTATATGTATACATTGATCCTTGTTAAATCAAGGTAGTCAGCACGTTCATCACCTCAAACCCTTTCATTTCTTTGCTTGGTTAACTTTCAAAATCTTCTGTTGTGGCAATTTTGAAATGTATAATACATGGCATAAACTAATACTTCTGAGAATGTGAATAACATACCAAAGCACCTCTTCTTTTCTTGAAAAAAAACTCCAAACAAAAATTCTTATGTAATTTTAATATTTCTGAATTTTACCACGTATTCTTTTCAAACTCTCAAAGTATTATTTATATTTTCTGTTAATTGAGATCTAATTTTAGTCAGTGGTGTTGATATTTTATTTTAATAACATTGCCATATAAAGTTTAGTACTTCTCGTGGCAAAAGTTTCTACACATATATACTTATACACACAGAAGTAACTGCTTTTGGATATATCTGTGTGAATTTGGCTTCCTACCATTTCTTACAGTAAAGAAGATGAACTATGTCTGTCATTATTTCCCTAACTGTAATGAATTCTTGTAACACTACTATAATAGCAATGACAGCAGCAATATTGCAACGCTTTGGCATATTAGTCCCATGCTGTAGAAAATGTCCAAATGATAGCAATCATTGTACCCCTCCCAGCTGCTATGCTAGAAGGCATATGTGACAATATTGTAATTAAGGAAATTAAGTGATGGAAGAAATTGGAGAAGCAACCAGTCTGTGATTTAGGCAAATATTCAAAGGAAACTTCTTTGCAATTTCTCAAAGTTAAATTGGTGTATATAAGAGGATTTACTAAAATCTGTTTCTCACTTTTGGAAAAACATAGTAATAGAATTACTTGTCACCAGGTTGAGCTTTCAAATGGTCACTGTGGTAACCAGTGAGAAAATATTGATTAATATTTATAAACCATTCAATTATTGTGTACTGGGCTATGTGCTTACTAATTGTCCCTGGGGTGTTAGCACTATAGAAAACACATCCTGCTCCTTCTTTCTGGAGTTTACACTGAGATCGGGTAATAAATGACCATCTTAACAAAGTGATAAGATGAATTCAGGCATTAATAAGTATGTTAAAGAAAATTAATGGGATGGGAATTGGATTATCACCTAAATGGGGGAAAAAAAGCAGAAGACAAGTCCCTTATCAAAAAGCATTCCTCATCTATACCACAGGGCATAGAAAATGATATTAGTGATTGTTTTCCAAGTAATCCCAAGAGGGTTCATCACTAGCCATAGTCTAGGTGCATTTGAAAGAAAATAATTCAATAAAAACAATGAATATCTTAGAACAAGAGGGTTTAATTCACTTGAAGAAACCAGATAGAAAAGGAGCCATCAGAAACAGTCTCTGCTGGAGTTGCTATATTTGGCTTTAGACGTGAATGTTAAGAAGTCTGTCATATTAACGTTATAAAGGCCTTGTGCTCTAATCTAGGAAGATGGAGCAATATATGGAAAAGGTTTGAGGCAGGAATATGTTCGTTCTTTCGGTTGACCCTCTGCTAGACGTTTGGTGAATTAGTTCAGCTACTGAAAAGGCATACATCTTGGCTCAATGAAAAACATATATGATGCAAATGTTGATGTAAGATGCCTCTACATTTTAAGAAGATTCCAGTACAATCTGGATGATTTTTATTTACTGTGATATTCTGTGCTTTTGTCATAAGACTTCGTGGTTTTTTTCTGTCCCCCGTTGGATTTCATATCATTCATCAAACTGCTCAGCCTAATAACAACTTTTGAATTGCTACGTTTCATTTTCTTTCATAATAATGCGATCAAATCAGTTGTCTAATGTAGGGTGGAATTATAAAAAGTATGTTATTTAAAAAGACATTTTAAAGCCATATCTCATGTTAGTTTTATATTTTTTTCTGAATTGATCACATCATAAATTTGAGACTTGCTTACCTCTCACTGATGCTCTTTTGCACGCATCTCCCCGCAGCTGCCAATCTTATTTTTACTCTTGTACATATTAGAATAGTATAACACCTGAGAGATCCAAAACAAACACAATATATCACATGCTAATAACAAATTATAGATAGAAAATATATTATCTAATTCCCAGCACAGCTTTCAATAAAATTTGTCATAATAGCTTGTGCATATTTATTTACCTTTTAATAACATTTTCTTGGTTGTACCTGCCCACCTCTTTGGTAAATGGTTACTATGCTTGGCGCTCTCATGTTTCCCCTCCTGCTCTCCCCTCCCCCAAATGCAAAGCTGCTTCTGATATAAAATTACATATGCAAGCAGGTTTATATAAGCATTCTTTTAAGGGGTCGTAAACCCAAGTTATGTGTATGGAAGAAAATATATGACCTAAGGTGTCGGTGAGACATAGTTTCAAATTTCAGTTCTGCAACTTACTTCTAACCAATTGTAAATTAACTTTTTTTCATTAAACGAGATGAATTATGTAAATTATTGTCACATAAGTAACACTAAAAGTAACACTAAATACGCATTTTTTTCTTAATTCCCTCGATTTCTCATGTGAAAAACATTGGAAAAATTTTTGCATTGCAATTCCAATCTTGTCAAAATCCTTCTTAAATTATGCCCCAAAACATATCATTATTTAAATTCAAATCTCTACCCTATTCAAAACTATACCTTTTAAACTATTTAACTGCAAGCCAATTCTAGTTCTGTGCCCTATGTCAAATAATCAGTGTAAAATGGTCACTGAATCCAGAACAAATGAAAAATTCAGGACATCTTGTTTTACTTTTTCCTTATACTCTAATTATTAATCTCCATATGCAGCTATTCTACTTCCTAATTAAATAGAAATTTATTCCTTTTTCTCCATTTTAAAGGCCTGCTCAAGTTCAGGGCCTTATTTTCTCTTTGGCATGCTCTTCTAATAAGAGCACATATAAGATAAACATTTATGTTTCTCATATATATATATAAACTATATGTGAACTATATATAAAACATGTATATGAACTATAAATAATGCATATATGATTCATATATAGTTCTTACCAAAATAAGGCATGCAAATAGCAGTAAATTATCTACTACAGAATAGCTATTAAAGGAAAGCAAATATTTCCAAATTCTTACCTTTGTAAATGTAATAATATTTCTCAAATTTGTATTTTATTATTTACGGGAATATCTCCATAATGCTACACAGTAGGTTTACAACACCATTTTAATGACCAACTTAAGACCATTGCTGTTTAATTCTCAATATGAAAGATGAGGATTTACATTACTGAAGCTAACTACACCTATCTTTTCTCCTCTGAATTTGAATTTCTGTTTTACTGTTGGATTGCTTTGTATTTTTAATAATTTGACTGTCTGAAAATATGTCTAATTTCCCATTTTGTAACAGAAATATAACTTCCACTACCCTTGCACTCACCTTCTTTATCACACTCAGCCTTTTATATTCTACTTTCTATTAGTTATTGAATCATTTTTAAAATTATGATTAAAGCTGTCAGAATTCACACTTTTCCCTTTTGGCCCCAACCAATGTTCCTATGCTTTAGTCACTGGTTAACTCTAAAGTGAATACAAATAAATGTACACTTTATTTTTCAATGACAGATTACTTAGTGTTTTAGGGTCATGTGCACTTTGTAGAGTTAATACTCTTTAGCCCCTTAAGGGAAATGTTTCTGATACCCAGGTCAAATAGATTCTCTAGTTACACTACATTAGTTGCTCACTACCATGTAATCTTCCCTTTGCTTCATATTAAATTGCTACTTTTAAGTTCAGGTATTGCAGCCTTTCCTTTTCCACCTCATGATTCCATTATCATTGTTTAATTGATTTTCTTGTATTTATAGCCTTTAATATATTATTATTTCCAACATCTCCATATATTATCCAATCCAATTCATTACATGCTTTCCTTTGTTTTTTCTTGAAATTCCCCTCCAGGTGTTTCTGAATTTCCTGCACTAAATATGGTCTGTTTGATTTTTTGGCTGGATGAGCTGATTGCATCCTGATAGTGAACTGTATTGATCTTTCACATTGGAGCTACTGTTTTCTGGAGCCCATGTCTTCTGTTCTCTTGGTTTTCTATTTCAGTTTGATGGAAAACTTCTTCAAGTAACTTCCTAAGATAATAGATTGACGGAGATACAAGTTCTTTATCTCATTTAGCTAAAGACAGCTTTACAAAGTTTCTGAGTATAGAAATCTAGATTAGAAATAATTACGGATAAGTTGTTAAGTTATTGTCTTCTGGTTTACAGTTTTCTCATGAGAGTTCTGGTGTCAACCTTATATCGTCTTCGTTGAAGAAATTATTTCTTCCCTGAAGTTTTAAGATCCTCCTTCTTTCTTCTACTGAGATATCATGGGGATTTGACTAGGTACACAACCAGATGAGGCCTGTGAATATATAACGATTTTGAGAGGCTTTTGGCTTATAATGTCTCTTAACTTGATGATATTTTTAGCCTTTTTTATCTTTCCTAACTTTGTGGGACTTACTAATCGTTGAATATTGTATTTCCTTAACTGGTAATGTATAATTCTGTTTGTCTTACTTTCTCATATTTTCTTTCTTCTTTTGGCCAAGACACACACACACACACACACACACACACACACACACACACACACTCCTTAATTGATTTATCAGCTATGTCTTTGTTACTTTTACTTTAGTAACTTAAGACTTCAATTTTTTTTTCTGATGGTATCTGTCCTTTGTTTTTTGTGCTTAGTATTCTCCTTAAATTTGAGTACATTAATTAGAAATGTTACTGTTTAATTTTCCCTTCTCTTTCCTCTCTATTAAATTTCATTTTTTATTTGTTATTTTGATTTTCAACTTTTATGTCTGTGAATCTGTTCAATTGTTTAATTACCGCTGGCTATCTACTGAAATTTAAGAAAGAATGATAGGTAACTAGTGTTGTTTTCTAAATCTCTAGTTTCCACAATAATGTTTCCCAGTGGCTCTCTCCCCTAAATATTTCTGATTTGCAAGTTAAATTATTCATGAAATTTGTTGACATAATCTATAACATTCTACTATATCGTAAAGACATCTTGAAATCTACCAATTATTAAGCTTTTTGGTTATGTCAAAAAGATAAATACAAAAATTCAACATTAAGACTGCTATTTGAACTATAGCCATTTCCCAATTTATTTCTAGAATTCAGAGGAAATCACTGAGCAGCTTACATGATAATGTAATGTTCTAATTACATAAATTAATAAACTCAAACAATGCATAAAAGATATATCTAGGTATGCTTAGTTTTCTTAACTAAATATTTGTAATACTTAGTGTTAGCCCACAAGGCAGTGGCAGAATAAAAATTATTCTTGCTCAGAAATGAAAGGCTTTCTCTCCATTAATTATTAAAAAGGCAAAAACAGAAACTCTTACAAAAAAAAAGAAAAACCAACGTCATAAGTTTTCAGCAGCAGTTACCACTTGTAATTAATAAAATATAGTTAGAGCAAAATCTTGCATTCCTCACCAATGCCTAAATGTCTTTAACCATTTAAAGGCTTTATTTCCATTAGTTACTTTATAGTACTCAGAATCACTGGGATTTTTGATGTGTATATATGCAATAAATTTATATATGTTTTCTCATTTAGAAGGTATGAATCTGATCAATGGGAGGTTTGTGAATTATTGCATTTATATGTATATTTGCTTTAATATTAACAAAAGGGTGAGAATATGGAATTTTTATATGTTTAAATTCATGAGAATAAGAACATTTGTAATGACATCTGAAAGATAGTTCGAAAGCATGGAGTAGACAACACTGGTAGAAATTCAACAAGTTTGACAATGCCACGAGACAAAGAACTAAAATCAAATTCATTTTTTTCAATTCATAAATTTAATAGAATTTCAAAAACTATTATGATTTTAATTTGGAAGTAGATATTGCATTCTTTTTAAATAAAATCTCTGTTTAATATTTTACCCATGTAAATTTAGAAATTAAATCAGACTATTTTCCCATAAATGACTCAGACATCTTTTTTCTCAGTTAGATAAAATTAAAATATCAGTTAGATGAAAATTTGTGTGATATTTTCAAAATTACCTAAGAAAAACTTTTATGTAAGTATAACTAGGTATTAACTAAATTCTCAATAAAGTTTGCTAAATATTCAGAATTGAATATCATTTTGTGTGAGGAGAAAAATAAATATCTTAGGTTATGTAAACCCTATCTTTTTATCTTGATGAGAAAAGAGAAAAAGACATGTCTTCCTTCAACCATTAAAAAGCTTATAAAGTTGTTTAAGTTTGAAATTTATACTTATGGGTACCATTTTGGCTTCTACATCTGATTTGTGTTTAATAGCAAAGTTTTGGGAATATAAAAATACAGCTTATTATCATTAAGAAAATAATTAAAAAATAAGAAAAAAATCTGATTTGGTTCTTTATGAGCAATTGGTCACGACGGCATAAAGCAAATGTTTAGTTGTGCTTTAGGTTGAGAATGTAGGGAACATTAACATCAGAACTGAATGAACGCAGTTATCAATATACAGATTTTGTAACAAACCTGCATGTTCAGCACATGTATCCCAGAACTTAGAGTAAAATTTTTTAAAAAGTGAGAAGTAAAAAAGTGAAAAAAAAATTTTAAGTACCAGATATGTTTTCTGAATACTTGGATTTTATCAGGGAACAAAATAGAGAAATCTTTATGCCTTTGAGGAGTTTACATTCTATTGGGGGAAGAGAGTAAAAAAAAACAATAAATACAATAAGTATCTGGTAGAAGGTGGTAAGTGCTATGCTCAGAAGAAAAAATAATGGAATAGGTTAAGGATGCTATTCTGAAATTCCCCATACAAGCAAAAATGTATTTATAATATATATGTATAGTTTTAACTAATAATAAAACCCACTCTTTTATGTAAATGAAATACTATATGAGGAAATAGATATAATATGGCTGGTACATGACATTACTTAAATCAACGAAAAAATATTTTTTTCCATCAAGGTTACAAAAATATTGTTTGCTTATGTGTAATCTTTCACCGGAAATTGCTCTACTTTATTCATTTCTCAGTATAATTATGAATATTCAGCTAAAAATCACTTTTTCCTCCTTAAGAAAAAACATCAGTTTTGAAAGGTGGATTCAATTATTAAACCTTTACATTATTAAGATATGATATATATGGGTGTAAATCTACATATGTAAACATTCACATTTGTATGTATGTATGAATACACATGCACTCATACTACTTGTCTTTTATAGGAGGCAAAGACAATTAAAATGCACTAATGTAGAAATATAAAATTTGATCCCTAATCTGCATTTCCTTCAAGGTAGCAATTTTACAGAATCACTTGAAAAAATAATGACATCATGAGAATTTTTGACATCATGTCAAGAACCAGTGTAAATTAAAATAAAAATGTACAGAAATACCACATTACCTCAAAATTCTAAGATAATCATTCTGTACTGATTCTATTTACTTCCCTGAAAACCACACTATCAAAACGTTAACAATCCTTATTTTTGTTAAGCAAAGATTACTATTATTGGGTGGAAATGAAACTTAGAAAGAATACAAACACATTTAAGATGTTTAATATTTAACATCTGTCTCACTAACAGAAGATATTTACCTTTTCTTTCTTTCCAACTACACTGCCATAAAAACACAGATAATAATTTTATTAATAATATTTATAACAATGGCACAAAACCAGAAAGTATAGTCCAGAATATGAGAATAATAAAAAATGTATGAAGTAAAAAAAAAATTAAAAGATGAACATCATCATAATAAAGAAACTATATTCCTATAGATGGGGAAATAGAATATATAAAAATATATCTTTTCAACAAAATATTGGAATTTATCCAAAGTGTTTGAGGAGCTGATACTTACAGAAAGAGTGAGTTATGGGCAATCTATCCTCAAGGACATTAAGGAAAATCCAGATAGAACTTTCCCACACTCTCAGTGCTATTTCCATCTTTAAGAGCTTTTAAATGTCTCCTTCTCTGAGAAAGGTGCCCAGTGATATTAAATTTCATGAGGGCTGACACCATATCTTCCTTGTTAATCATTGCAATCACAGCTCATAACAAAATAACTGTGTGGCCGGTTTAATTATGTCAACCTAGTGAAGGTGGAACAAATTGCCCAGTATCCCCTTTCTTACATAATTTTAGATTCATATAGATTACAAGAGATGTTGTGGTCTTCATTTGGAAGGGTGAGTGAAGCTGCAGCCATCTTTTTACACACAGAAAGTCAATGAAAAGCAGAAGGTCATTGTCATTTGTGTGCCATTTCTGCTGGCTCAAAGGGGAGCAACAGGATCTACAACTCCTACCACTCTGACCAGATCTTCAGCTTAAGATTCTCTGACTTTTGGGCCTAGCATCATGTAAGACTTCAGCTTCTCCTGCAGGACACCTGGAGCACTGAAGTTGGAGGATTGAAAGAGGTGAAATACCATCATAAGTTCCAACTGTCCTTATAGTTTTCAGAACAGCCTAGCCAATTCTGGTTTGTTCTTTCTTTCCTAATTTGCATCCAATTTCTGCCCCCAGCAGTCTGCTCAGAACTAGACAAAGAAATATAGCCCGGCTGGCATTGCCCTTTTAACCAGGCTACTTCATTGAGTAAAGTCAAATCCCTACACTGAGAGTCTGATTTTGTATAAATCGCCTGGTGCTCTAGATGAACCATCACTGATTTAATCTAATTTTAGACTTTCAATAAATATTAATTATATTAATGAATAAATCCTTAAGAGAATTTCTGCATTTCTAGTGCCTAGAATGGAGACTGTCACAGAGTGTGACATCAGAAATTATTTGTAAATAAATGTAAAATAATAAATGAATAACCAATCAATCAATCAATGAGAGTCTCCATCAGAAGACAAATTAAAGTAGGATACAGGAAACCTTGGAGAAGATTGTCATGATTTATTTATACTAAGAGATCCTTTAGCATATAATAAAAGAAGAATATAAAATATTGGTTTGAGTAATAATGACGAAGGAATTGAATTTTTCCTATTATGCTATTTACCTACCCTGCTCATCTATTTATAAAAGAATTAGTAAAATAAAATACTTGAGACAATGTCATTGTTTCATTTCATATGTTATTAAATTCATTATGTGATAGTCACAGTTTGAAACTTTCAATGAAATATTAATTTTTCTGAATAACTATAAATATAGTAATTATTGTAAAAGCACTAAGAGCTGTGTCAAAACCCTGGGTGTCTTACTTTATATAAGAAAGGATTTATGCTTAAATAAAACAGTTTAAAAATATTTGGAGCAGAGTTTCACATCAGGATGTTTGTCTTGATACTACATTTATGTCAAAATGCATAAGTGATGGTGCTGGAAAACAGTAAAAATGTTGACTTGCCTTAATCTAGTGAACATACCAACTGTGGAAAGTTATGAAATCCATATTCTAGTAATAATAGACATTGTTCTAAGGAGAAATCTAGACAGCATTCTTATAAATGGTAAAGTACTATGTAACTGTGATAGCTCTTGTCTTGAAAATAGCATAAAAGAAACTCAACTTACATGAAAAAAAGCTTCTTATGATAAATGTCTCCATAAGACAATCCTCTCCATTTAGAGTGCAGTTCAAATTATCTTTTTCAATAATTTGAAAAGTAAGTATATACAAACAAAAATATTAATACCAGTTCAAATGGAAAAACTAAATTTTTCATCTACAACATTATGATAAGCAAAGCCAATTTTAGAATTATAAGGTGAAATATTATTGAGCAATAAAAATAAGATGAACCATTGCCATTTATGGCAATGTGGATAAATACCACAAGCATAATACTGAGCAAAGAAGTCTGTTCACAAAAGATTGTATACTCTATGCTTTGGATTAAATAAGTTTCAAAATGGACAGATGACATTATTATAAGTCAGGATAGAGTTTAGCCTTTCTTGGGTATTGATGAGTGGAAGGAGCAACAGGGGAACTTTCTAGGTTAGCAATAATATTTTTTCTTTCTGTGTATGTTCATTTTTTGAAAAATCTATTGGTACATATACTTATGTTTTGTACATCTGTATATGCATATTTTACTCTAATATAATATTTTAAATATGTGCAAAGAGAAGAAAATAATATTTATCTCATAATATAGCAAAGATGACTCTCAAGATGTTTAAGATATATTTCAAATATGTATTTTCTATTAGACAAATTAACTTTGTAATCAATAAAGACTAGCATGCACCCTTTTAAAAACTATATATGCATTAAAATTATGCACACAGTTGATCCCCATTATCTAGATAATTTTCCCTGATTTAATAAAATTTGAATGTTTAGCCAAATATAAAATTTTTTCCTAGTGTATGAATTATACATAAATAATTTCAACTAATCGTTGTTTGGTGTACAAGTTGCCCCTTAATGATTTAAACTGGTTAATTGCTCTTTAATGAATTTTAAATCAAGTCAGTCATTTATAAGCATTGACACAACTTTTTAGAATACCCAGCAGATATAATTTTCTAACAACGTTTAGATGAAGGATCTTCAGATAAAGCACAGTTATTTTTCAAATAATTCTCATTCCCTTTATGTGGAAAAATCACGATGCCTCAAGAAATTACCTTGCTCAAAATTATGAAAAATGCTCATAATATGTTAAGCACACTTACTTTCAAGCAGAAGAACAAATACTTGTGTAGTAAGAGTGAGGCATCTCAGGCTACATGTGAAGACCCCTCCAGTCTCACCAAGGTCATCCCAAGCTCCAACGAAAATGCAACTATATAAACATAGCATAAGTGGAGGACCAGCTACATAGTTTTAGAGGCCCAGTGCAAAATGAAAAATGTGTACTTTTGTTCAAATACTATTAAAAATTTCAAGATGGAGGTAGCAGAGCATTACGCCAGGCACAAAGCCCTCCTAAGAAGGGAGCACCATGGCTGCTTAGGTCACAAACCAGGGACCAGCCCTGCACAAGGGTTTTGCTCCCTACAGCTTTTTCTCCTCACATCTCTCTTTATTTTTAAAATTCAAAACTGCAATGATAATATACAAATTAAGTGAAAACTGCTTTGGTTTGGCATTATTTCAAGCCTTTAATTTTAGCCACAAATACGTGTTGCAACATTTTCTTCTCTCAGAACAATTCTTCAATTGAATATTTGTAGCCTGTGGGCTACATAAATCTTTCTTTCTGCTTTTATCCCCATTACCTACATCGTAGCCACCTGCTTACCCATATTATTAGCCTACCTACTTAACGTCCAGCCGTTTAAATGTTCTAATTTTCACTCACAATACTAAAGGCATGTGATGGATACGCATAAAATTTTATGTGTCAGCATGACTGGTCATTTCGGTGTGAGGGTGTTTCTGGATGAGATTAGCATTTGAATCAGTGAACTCAGTGAAGCAGGTTGCCTTTCTGAATGTGGATGGATACCTTCCAGGCCATCAAGGGCCAGGATGGAACAAAAGTTGGGGAAGAAGAAATTTGCCCTTCTGTTTTTCCTGCTTCACTGATATACTGGGACAACTTATCTCCTCTTCTTCTGCTCTTAGACTAGGTAAGATTTACAACATCCGCTCCTCTAGTTTTCAAGCCTTCAGATGTGACAGAATAACACCAATAGCTTTCCTGGGTCTTCAGTTTTCAGACAATAAAGCAGGGAGTGTCTCAGTCTTCATAATTCTTTGAGCCAATTCTTCATAATATATATATATATATATGTCTCTATCTCTTTGTAAATATAGGAAGTCCTTATAAACCATGACCATAACTCAACTGAAACATTAAGTTTTCAAAGAAGTTTCTACTCCCCACCCTTCCACTGAATGTCCTTTCCACATTGATACAATGGGAAAGTAACCCTCACCAGTATGTGAAATCTCTCACAGCAACTTTCCAATTCTAAAGGAGATATCATCCTGCACTGTCTTCTCAGAGATAACCCAGGGTTGGATGAGTAGCTATGAAACTCGCTGTAAACAAAAAATGTATGGGTAAAAATGATATTCTATTTGAAATACCCAAATAGAGATATCTTAAGGTCTTTGCACAGCCTCCTCCTTAGCAATGCCCAGCTTGATCTTGCCCTCAGACTGTCTCTGTGGCAGCTGAAATCTGCTTCTTTTTTTTTTTTTTGAAGGATATAAGTTGTAAAAATACAAAATGGCTCTCAGTATTGAAATTGAAAGGAAAATTTTAGTCGACATAGGATAACTACATCGTTAAACTTGTATAGAAAAGATTAAGAGATTTCAAAGAAGTAGCAATGCAATGCACATTGAAAGAAAGAGAGAAAAGATAGCAAGTACAATAATTGACAAAAGAGAATATTCCTGGATACTATTGGCCTTTTTTCTCCTTATTTTCACACTCAGCATTTACCCTTCTTAACAGAAATAACACAATTCAAAATATGAATAATTTTTGAGAAAGCTTGACCATGAGTATAATAAACCAAAAGACCTTAATCCTCTAAAAAACACAAAGCATTTCAGGCTACGTTTTATGAGACCATTAATAGATGTCATGGCCAATTGAAGAAAATCCATTTCTGAGTCTTGTCCCCCAAAGGAATTAGTGTCTTCTTTGCAGTTTTCTGTATTATAATACTTTGTCATTCATTACAGCTTAATTAATTCAGATTTTTACTTTCTGATAAAAAAGAAATGTGTAAATACATGGAAGCAGGCTCTGCTAAAATTTTCAATGTAGATTTAGGTAAACTCATTATTGTTGAATAATATTAAAGCCTGGTTTTAGAGGACCATTTTAAAGCAGCCCTTCTAAAGTAAACATTTTTAATTCTCAGATAGCCCCTAGTGGATTGTGTGATGTTCATGTTTTGAAGAAAGATTAAACAGAGATTCATGAATAGAACTGTAATTTTATAAAAGTATTTTATTGATAACACATTTATAATTTAAAAAATTATATCAATATTGGATGGCAAAGAATAATACCTCCTTGTATTTTTCTAGAGCATAAGTAATACTGCTGCCAAATCTGATACTTCTTAGAGCAATGAGGAAGTTTAATTGACTCTTGCCTTCCAAAGGCAAATATGAAATGAGGATGTATCATTACAACCAAGACTGCCTTCTGATGGGCTTCTGGGTCAAGGAGGTAATGCTAGCTCAGGTATTTTAGATTAAAAAAATATAAGTGATATCTGAAGATAATTGTGAAATGTAGTTGTCTAATAAAAATGTGTTCTAGAAAAGGACTTAAATTCAGAGGCAATTCTGTGTCTCTACCGTTTATTGGTATTTTTGTGACCATTTTATTTACACAGCACAGAGATCATTCACTGACAACTTCACACTTTGACTAAATGAAAAAAATTCACTTTAATAAGCTACCTAAACCTTCAGCATTAGTTAATCTTAATCAATAAGGAGTTAAGTCTCAAGTTATTACCTCAGTAGATCAGTAATATGTAATGCCCTAGAATTTAAATACCATGTAAGAACTGAGACATAATTATGAAACACATTTCTAATATTATCTCAGGATTTATAAGCATGTTAAATGAGTCATTAAGTTAGACATGGAAAAATAGAGATATAAATATTGAAGCAATAGTTTCTTCTTCAGACTTGTCAAATGAGCATCCCCACACATAAAATTTCTATCACTAGTGCACAGGAATGCTCCATCATTTTCTCCAGGGACATGAGCTCTGTCTGATACTTGTTTTCCTACTTAAGCCTTATTATTATTAACATTTATTACAATCTACAGAGAAATATTGAATGACAAAATTGTAATTTACTTGAAGGCTTCCAAAGCAATTGGATAATTTATATTTGTAGCTGATGGTTGATATTTAATGTGTATCTCTGTAGTGAGCATGATAATAAAAACATATTGTGAGAAGCTTTACTATTAAAACCTGCTTTTATGTACACACAAATGCAAAATTCTGATTTTTGATAAATTGACTGTTGATTTTATATATTAGCTCTCATTCAGAAGTTAATATTTAAGTAGTTACAACATTTAGGCAGCGTAGAGTGTGTTTTCTACAACTATCCCTACAAGTTCCCTCCAAATTAAAGAATAAAGTTCTTCAGAATTACTTTTTGGAGAGGATCACTTTCGAAGAAAGAGAAATTCAATTTTTTGAAAAGTTTGTTGCAAACAGCAGTTATTAATACTTCATTCTGGCACATAGTCCTCTTATTTTTTATGATTACAATAAAAGGCGCACAATCTATATAAAGCATATAATACAGTACAATGCACTAGATAACAGAGATCTATAACTAGAAATTGAAGGTGACTCCACAAGCTAACTCCATAAATAACATAAAAACTTTCATTATGAGATATTCTTACTGGTTAGGTAATCCCCAGCATGGAATTCAAGACATTATTATATCAATAAGATAATAATAAATATCTACATATTTTAAAGATTACAAAGCACTTACCTATACATTATATCAAATAATCTCATGACATTGAACTACTATTATCTGAATTTTACAGCTTAGGAAATTGAGATTTAGAGAGCTTGTGACTCACCCAGTTTTACAGCTAGTAATGGCAAGAGTCAATATTTTAACCCAGTATTTAAATCACACTCCATATGTTATAGTAAGATGCCTCCAATTTAAATATGATAGACCAAATGATATATAACTTAAATTATAACTAATATTTTTTTCTTTATAAACACAAGTACATGAGGTTTATTTGAAATTACAATTTATTACAAGTTCACCCTTTAATGGGGACTTACCTCCTTGAAGACAATTAAAAAAAAATTCAGGTGTCACTGAAGTGGGAACACAGGATTCTCAATGAACAAGAACAGACTGGATCTAGGATAACAGGCAGGGGAAGCTGGCCGTGGTGGGGGTTATGAAGCTGTGATGTCAGTGCCAAATCTATGCCTATAGAAGGGACGGTAAACTACCTACCAGCCCTATAGCAATCCCCACCGTCCTTGGGAAAGGAGGATGGGAGAAGCAGTGGCCACACTCTGCAGAATTATAACTGATATTTATATTGAATAATATATAAATTTAAAAAGACTTTGAGGTGTGGTGGTTGGGAAAATTGAAATATGATAAGCCTAAAATATTTTTTCAGGTTCACTGCAAAGTTGTACTGAAGTGTTTTCCATAAGACCCTCATTTTATTTGTCTGTTTATCAGGTTTTGCTCCCTGGTACAACATACAGTGAATAAAGGGTATTGTCAGATATAATTACTAAACTTAATAGAATTTTGAAACTACTTTTTAAATATATTCATTAAAGATATCTCTTAATATTGTAATTGTGTCTGCTTTTTCATTTAACATTGAGTTACATAAGAGTATTTGAATGTCAACTCATTAGACATGACTTTAATTGAAAACCTGAGGAATTAAAGTAATTTATAAAAAGAAGAAGTGGAAGTAATAGAAAATGAGGAGGAAATTTTATTATAGGACTTCTTTCAGGACTTCCCATTTTGCTTGTGTTATAGGTAATGATGGTGGGTGTAAGGGTCATCGTTGGTGTGACACTGTGTGTGCTACTTACCTGCTATGTGAGCTTTGGCCACTTGCTTAAGACTCTCATTGACTCAATTTTCTCATTTACAAAATGCTCATGCTAATATACCTAACTCATTGGTCTGTGGCAAAATGTATGTGAGTTTATGCAGGTAAGGAATTTAAAATAGGACTTGGTTCATATTAAGTATTCCACAGGCGTCAGCTATTTGATTGCTATATGTGTTTGGTTTGTGAGTTTATAAAGATAAAAGTATAACATGTCCAAATTTTATTGTTTTATCTAGTTAATACTATCTTCATATAGATATGAACAAATTTTATTTCACAAAAGTATTCTCACAAATCACAAAAAATATTCACACACTGCATACTTTTATGCAGCTCATCTCCTGGGTACAGCTTATAATATTCTATTGCCTGATAGTTGCTAGAATAGTTTAGCTTTGCAGCTGGTTTCAGTAAATGTTAAGGTAATAATTTGAATTTATTAATTAGCTTACTGATTGATGACCCAAGGGAAAATATAGTGTAATGTTTCAAAATTCAAGTCTTTTTTCATGTTTTTATAACAATATGATGCATTTTGAGTACATGACTTTCACTAGTTTAGATTTCTGATCAAGAATAATTGCAAACTTGAATTTTATGTTTAAAATAAAATGCATTACATAAAGATATAAATGTTACATATTGAAATTAACTTTAAAATTAGTAATAGGCACAATTGCTTATCATGCAACAAGTGAATTCATTAACTTTACCTATATTACCTTTATAAAGCTCTGCAAAAGATATATTACTACCTATGTTCTTTTTGTGAGCTGAGAAAAATTGGTTTCAGAAAGAAAAAGAGATATCCTGAAAGCAGGAGCTAGAAAATTGAAAATCTGAGATTTGAACTGTATCAACTTTACTTCTTTAAAAGACAATATTGAATTGTCTAAATCTATCAAAACACAATTAGGTGAGAATTGCGAGCAACTACAGAAAATTATAAGCAAAATTGGAAGAAAATGTCACAGTTTACCATAAATTTGGGGAAATAAGTATCCACTATATGCGGGATTTTATAATATGTCTTTCATTCCCCATTATTTCTTTAAATTTTATCTTCAAATATTTAAAAAATATTTTCAATCTATGACATATTTTGAAATAACACTTCTTGTTTGTGATATCAATTAAATGTTATAAATTAGCTATTTTTGAATTATATTTTAGACTTTTGTTTTCAACAGGCTGATAATATTGCTTACATTTAGAATCTTACCCATTCTCAAAACCTTAGATTGTTTTAAAATCTACGTTACACAAATATATATAAATATATACATCCTATTTGACAGAACCTTTATCTAAAACAGATATTAATATATACAATACAAGGATATATTATATGCAGTTGACTTTATTATTTCAAGGATTAGATATTATATGCTGACCCTCACCTGAAAAATACACACACTTGATTTTGGGTATTTATTTTCATAGTTGTAAACCTCAGTAATACATAGTTTTCCATAAATGAGTTTTTTCACAATTTAAAAAGTGAATTTGGTGCTTAAAATTGAACTGTTTATTACAAACAGTTGTTTTGCAAATAGCTTTTAAAGTAGCATCTTTCTTTTTTGCCCAATATAAATAAATCGTATCATGATGCTACTTTGAATCTTGAATGTCATAATACGTGCATTTGTTTTTTTTATATTATGCAGTTGTACACAGCACTATTGTTAGTAGAAACTGAGTGGAAAAGCTAACATGTAAATCTGTGCTAAATTGCAACTTTTAAGTAAGACTACTGGGTTTTATTATGCTATCTATTATTAAAATTACCAATATTATAAAAGCAGGCCATATATATATATATATATATATATATATATATATATATATATACACACACATACACACACACATTTCTATACATAGTTTGTATGTATGCATAGTTCTATATTTCTGTATATGCATAGTTCCATTACTTTTAATGACAAAAACCACAGTTACTTTTGCACAAACCTATATATTCACACAGATATGTGTCTATATACAGATGTGTATACACACACACACATATTTATATTCTATTGAGTCACACATATTTATTTGTATTTTTTGTCTTTTGCTTAGATCTTTGCTAATAACACAATTTACCTATTGATTTTTCTTCAGGAAATAAAAAAAATCACAAACTTTTGAAAACCAACAAAAATAGCAGGAAAGATTTAGACAGAGTCTTCAAAACAAGACATTGATAATATATTTACTCAGTTAAGCAATTTCATAAAATAAATCATTTTAGTGAAATTAATGCCAGCTCAGTTAACACAGTTAAACAAAGAACTGCAATTTGGTGTCATGAAACATTACTGAACAGTTGTTTCCACATTACCTTGTCCTTCTAAGAAATGAGGTATCACAGTAGAGATCTGCACACTTATTCACTATCTCCAATGGCACTATTTAGGAATTTTACATTATATTGCTGTTTTACCATTGTTTCTACCCTCACTTAACATTCCAATCTCAGCAACTCTCCATCATCTAGTTAGACATGGACACGCCCTTTCCAATAAATTGGATCCCAGTTCCGGGGTGAGAGGGGCACAATCTTCACTGAGTGTTTTATCTCAGATGTAGGAACAGTGGCTGGTCTTTATATTTGTTATTCCTATACATAATTATTTGTACTTCTTATTTGCCAATTCTTCATTACTCTAACTTTCTGATAGAGTAAATAATTACTTATTTTAAACTATTTTTATTTAAATTACTATGCAGTTTATGTCTTCTAGGTGGATGCTGAATTATACAAGTGGTATTATCTGAATTAAAATTATACATATTTATCCAGTTGCAACTTTAAGAGTAGACTCATGGAGGAGTAAAATAGAAACAGGTTGTCCAATCAGTAAGCTATAACAATTAAACAATCAAACATCTATAGCAGCTTGGTTCAAATTTGTATCAGTCTGGGAGTGGAAACTGCTCAGATTCTAGATGTAATTTAAATGTAGAGTAACAAGATTTACTGAAGTATCAAATGTGAGTATATTACAAAGGAGGTTGCAAGATTGACTCTAGGCCATTGGCCTGAGCAACTGGAAAAAATGAAGTTACCTATATCACAATGGAGAAGCCTGTGAGAAAAGCACATGTTGAGAAAACTATCTGGAGTTTAGTTTTTATATAGTTAAGTTTGAAATGTTTATTAAATATACAAGGGACATGTTACCTTGACAGTTGGGTATATAAGTCTAGATATATATAAGTGGATAAATAAATTTGATGATCATTATCATACTCACAGCCATAAAGCAAAGAAGAGCTAGAAGGCTGAGTTCTGGAACATCATAATATTCAAAAGTAAGGAGTACATAGGAAGCCAGAGAGGCCACTGAAAATTGAGCGAGACCTTGCCCTAGAACGGCAGGTTTGTCAAAGGGGGAAAAAAAGTAATTGGCCCTAATAAAAACTATTTATAGGTCAAGGGATATGAGAGACAAAACAATGTCATTGGATTTAACAATTTGAAGTTATTGGTAAATCATTAGAAACACTATACACAGAAGAAAATATAAGAGGAGAAACATTTGACACCATGAGTTACAAATATAATCTATTTGAAGGAGTTTTGCTAAGAAGAAAAAAAGAGAAAAGTTTTTGTGGCTCTAGAGAGAAGAGGGATCAAGTTGAAGCTTTTTAAAAATATGTTTAGGGACCTCATGAATGAGATTAGTGCTCCTATCAAAGGGACCACAGAGAGCTCCCTTATTTCTTCTGTCATGTGAGGACACAGTAAAAACATGTCTGTCTAGGAACCAGGAAGCCACCCCTCAGCAGACACAGAATCTGCTGACCATTTCACCTTGGATTTTACCATCTCCAGAACTGTGAGAAATAAATTTTATATGCTACCTAGTCTACGGCATTCTGTTTTTGGCACCCGGATTAGCTAAAGTACCGGCATATCAGCTGGTACACATAGTTTTTGGAAACTCTGATGCCAAATACTTGATGGCAAAAGGTGATTGATCTGCCGGAGAAGTGAGCCTACATGATCCCTCTTTCCACAATAAACCAGAGAGTCAAAGCTGGCAAAAGTAGGTCAGGGTTTTCTAAAAGCCATACCTGAAAGGTTTCCAGTAACAGTTGATTTGATGGTAATTCAATCACATAAACAAACCACAACAAAAAGACACAACTATCAGAGATTTTCAGGATAGCCTCAAAAACACCATCTAACACTAAGGAATTAAAGAAAGCATGAAGTTTCAAAAACTCAAACTTTGTTTAAACATCATTGTATAAGCTTGTAATTCTTTTTTTTTGTTTTTTTTTTTTGAGACGCAGTCTCACTCTGTCGCCCAGGCTTGTGTGCAGTGGCAGGATCTCAGCTCACTGCAAGCTCCGCCTCCCGGGTTTAAGCCATTCTCCTGCCTCAGCCTCCCAAGCAGCTGGGGCTACAGGCTCCTGCCACCACGCCAGGCTATAAACTTGTAATTCTAATACTATGAACAAATCCTAAGGCAGGTGGCAGCATGGAGACCCCGGGGCACAAGTGCTGAGTTTGGAAGCTTTGGTTCTTGTACACTTTGGAGCCACCCCCTGGTCCCCTCAACCCCTGCCCGCCTGTTAAGAAGAGCCGGTCCCGGGCAGCAGATTAGGGGCAAACAGCCCAGATGCCCGGTTGCGGGCAGACCTCCATGCCTGGAGGAGGAGGCCGCCTCTGGGAGCAGGAGGAGCTGCTGGAACCCCTCCTCGCAGGCTCCTTTTCCTGCTCTCAATCACCTCCTGCCAGCATATATACACCCCCAGCACCAGCAGAATGAACAGGTCCTGCAGCAACAGGGCTGCAGCTCTGCTGAATGAGAGAAGCCTCCCTCCAGCGAGGTAGAGAAGCCCAGGCTACACACCCTGGTCTCTGCCTTCATGGCTCCCACTGTGCCCAGGACTGGGAGCAGCATGGGAGCTGCTGGCTGGGGCTCCGCTGACCACCCCAACTCTGTCACCTCTAGCTCCACTCACGCTTTCAGCTCCAGGGCTAATGCCAGTGGCCACAGCAGGTTCCATGATGTCAGGCAGCTCCTCCCTGGGCTGGTCCTTGGCTGTACCAGGGCAGGGGCAGGAAGACTCTGGAGCTGCCTCTAGTTCCAGCGCTGTCCCTGGAGGGGGCTCTTCCCCTGGCGCTGGCACTGGCTCAACAGCTGGCACTGGAATTTCCTGTATTGCTGCATATGGAGCAGGAGCTGAAAAAGGAGAAAGAGTCATCAACATCAGTCACTTTCCACTGGAATTTCCAAACGTGGAAACAACCTCACTGAATTTAAAGGAATTCCAGCCCAAAAACAACACCCCCACAGAGTCTTCCAGACTGCAGGCCACTTCACCATATGCCTGTGCCTCGATGGGCTCCAGAATCTCCAGCCAGACAAGGACAATGTGCAGATGTGGCCCAGATAGGATCACTGGTAAAACCTGGCCTGGTAGGGCCTGCCCTGGGCTGCCCTGTAATACCTGGGGGTGCCTTTGGCTAAATGGCCAGAGGCGTCTGGGGTGAGCAATAAGCCTACGTCGGCATCATTGGAAAAGGCTGTCACTCCTTCCATTCCTGAAGCAGGACCCTTGAAATGTGGGTCGAGAACATCTTGCTCTCCTCAACATCTCCCACCAAGTGAGCTGGCTACAGGGCTGGCTCTAGGATATGGGTGCCTGGTTACCAGAGTTCTAAGTTTTATTCGGGTCTGTCATTAAGGAAGTGAGGGTGCGTCTTAAAGGTTCCGTCCTCTCGGCCCCTTCCCACCATAAGACTTACTAAGGACCCCACTGGGCTGCTGACTGCTTACCCTCCCCACAGGTCAATTCCATACCTGTACACAGTTAGGTCCACCCAGAGCCTGCTTGGACACCTGTGCCTGATGTTCACCAGGGGCTGGATGTCCTCCTCAGGCCTGAGTATCCACCTGGGGCCTGGTGTCCACCTTGGGCCTATGTTTCACTTGCGGCCTTGTGTCCCTGGGGACTGGTATCCAGTTGTGGACTGATGGCCTAATGGGTCCCATTGGTAACCTAAGACCTGGTGTCCACCAGGGACCTGGTGATCACCTGGGATCTGGGTATCAACCTGGGACCTGGGTGTCCATTAAGGCCTGATGTTCACCTAAGGCCTTAGTTTTCATCTGGGCCTGACAATCACATGGGGACTGGGTGTGTACCTTGGGTCTAATATCCACCTGGAGTCTACCTATCTACTTAAGGCATGGTGTCTACCTGCAGCCTGATGTCCACATGACTCTGGAGTTCAACATGGGCCTGTTGTACACCTAGTGCTTTGGTGTACCTCTGGGGCTGGTTGTCAATTTGGGGCCTTGTGTATACCTTGAGTCCAGTGTCCACCTGGGGCCTGATGTCTGCCTGGAGGACTGGTATCCTTCTGAGGTAGGAGCATTGCTGGAGCCCATGAGGTTGAGGCTACAGTGAGCCATGATTTCACCATTGCACTCCAGCCTGGGTGACAGACTGAGATCCTGTCTCAAACAAACAAACAACAACAACAAAAAGAACACACAAATTATATAGCTGATTATATATATATATTTATATATATGTGTGTGTATGTATACACACACATATTATATATATTTTTAAATGGGGTAAAATTACATACTTTGGGGAATATTTCAATAGAGAAGGAAAAATCAATTGTACATAAAAGAGACAGAGGAGAATTGCTACGTGATATTCTTGAGTTTTCAGCAGATATTAGCTTAATTGCATATGATTAGGGGTTGTTCGTATCTAAAGGCACTGAGTATCTATAGTAGTGATGAGAAGGTAGTAGATATTATTAGGTGAAAGTTGTTGGTGGAGATGGTAGTGAAAACCTAGACAAGTCCTTTTCTATTTATATTTACTTGACTATGTAGAGAGAGGATAAAGCAGTATTCTAGTAGGAGACCGGGAGGGTACATAGACAAGGGAAATATAGAATGAAGTATTGTGAGTCCACTTGTGGTTAGTGAATCATACATTTAAAGTGAAACCAACCAGTCAGCATTGTTGTGAATATGTAGAGTTAATGTATCATTCCAGCCACTTTCACTTGTATAGAGGCAGACAAGATATAAGTAGAATGTTGTATTTAAATAAGGCTGTATTAAAAGCCTAACATAAAGTGATTGAGAAACTAGGGTATTGGGATAGTATGAATGGCAGCGATAATGATTGATCATGAAATTCAAACTTAGGAAGGAGAAAAGTGAAGATTTGATTGGGTAAAAAATAGTAAAAGAGTAAACATGATTGATTGAGTGAAGATATGATTGGGTGAAAGATAGTTGGATCCATGGGTCAATGTCCCTAAACAGTTAAATTATTTTTGGAACTGGGAGACTAGAGAGAGTGAGCTGGAAATATAGAAGGTGATATTTGGGAAATAGAATGTTTGAAATTGATTATGGAGAGGTGGTAGTTTAATGGCAATATAAAAGTCTAGGACTTGGTGACAATAAGATGACTAATAGGGAGAAAAAGGCTTATAGTAGCAGACTTCTAAGGTATTAGAAATATCATCTCTATGGATCATTTGCATGGATCCCTGGGTACATAAGCACTGATTCCCTTAGAAAATTAGATGAAATGACGTCTGTGAAATCTCAATTTTTTATTTGCTGAGATAGCTGAGAGTTTCAGCGGCATATTGGTCTGAGCAATGTATTAATGTATTTATAGCTTACAGAAAAAATGGTCGGAAAGTCTTTTTTAGAATACATATCAAAGGGGTAATTATTTTTCTTCTGCTCATTGAAAATAACAAAATATTACTTATGAGAGTCAGGTGGTCTCTCTAGCACAGATATAAATGTCTTGCACTATTTGACAAGTATTATTTCATCATGTAAGATCAGTCAATTTCAATAAACTTTTTTTCAATCTCATATATTCTGATTTAAATAACTATGGAATGCAGAGGAAACCAATGATATGCTGTATAGAACAAAATGCCAAGATACTGCAGGTTTGCAAATATGAGGATTCACAACCCATTTTTAGTCTAGTTAATATAATTTTGGATTATTTTTATTTCTTATTTCTATATTCATAATATGTAGTTATTTCCACTTTCAACCAAGACAGTAAATTTTTTTTTTAGAAAATATAAGAAATTATGATTGTCATATAGTGGAATACTTAAAGCTTTTAATAAATGGAAAAATATATTTTCTTTTGCATTTTATTTAATTTTTACTGTTATATTTAACCTGTCATACTGAAAGAATGTTGGCTAACATAACCCAAATTTAGTATAAGAGCAATTTGTGTATATTATTAATAGAAACAATTGTATGTTGTTCTGTTCCTGTTACCTTTAATGGCAAGCCAATTTATTTCAATACCAAAGAATTTTGTTAACCATTTATTGTATTTAAGTAACTGTGCTTGATATGGGGCAATCTTTAAATAATATAAAAGGAGGGCACCACAATTCAGTGAAAATAGATGTCATTGCATATATACATAATGTAAAAGAATGAGAATATTTAATCTTTGATGAAGTATGTTAAGGTGTAAAATTAATGAAAAAATATGTATAAATAGACATGACAAACATTTAAAATGATGTCTTAATATTTTAAAGAAACCAAAATTATTGTAAACAGAATTAAAATTGAAAAATTTTTTTAAATTGCAAATGTAGGGTGGAAAACTGATCAATATCATTAATATATACTATACAAATAATTCAGTAAAATGGCAATAAAAATTTCCCAGTAGAAACATTGGAGAGAGGGCAAGGAGGAACAGATAGAATCAAAAGATTAACTGGAGAATTCTCTTGGATTCAAGGTAGACAAATGATAAATGTTTTTATATTCTACGAGAAATGAGAGAAGTGGTAATCTTTTTGAAAGATAGCTTTGAATTTTAATGGAGCAGCAGTGAAGCCAAAGTTCTCAAAGGTATGAGTGCTTTGCTGTCAATGAAGTGTCATTTAGAAGATTATAATATGTTTGCCTCATGATAGCAAATCCTAAGGTCATATAACTGGTTGGGTTTGGATGATAGAAGGAATTACTGATAATATTCTTAAGTTTTTATGTATAAGCTTATGATTACAGGAGAAGACAGTAGACTGGAGACTGTCACTTATGGTGTTGATTGTGCAGCGTATTATGCACACATTATAATTGATATAATAAATATAGTGTCATAAGCATAAGTTAGGATTTCTGAATATGCATAATTTGAAATTTATTCTCAGAGTCTCCAATTTAACTGTAGTGGAATTTTACTAGCTGTTGCAGTTTGCCGATTCAAGGAGCTTGACATTAATTGCTTGTACTATCTTCCAGTAAAAATGTAGTATGCTTGTACTATTAGGCATGACAGCTCACTTTCTGTATCTCCACTCTTGAAACACATTTATGAATCAATTTATTTTTTCTCTAACTTTTATAGATCACTTTATTTTCCTTCTCTCTAAGTCATTAATTAAATATTGAATACTTTATTTTTCATTCAGCTCAATAATTTCATTATTGGTTAATTTACAAATATTGTCAATGATATATAATCAAGTTATATATCAGGAGTTAATAGGCTTTTACTATTCTGCAATTTCTTGGAATAACATAAATTATTTGTGTTTAGTATCAATGGGCCTTAACCTACCAGAATTATAATTTCCAGCTGTGTCTTAGGCAAAGAATTAAACTTGGGAGATATATATATACACACACACATATATATTTCTGATATCTTTTTCTGGAAGCTATGTTTAAATTTTAACAGAGCAGAAACTTGCCTGCAATAACTTTAGGAAAGTAATTTCACAGTATGACGCATTGGTATTTTCAGAATTGATTTAGATTCAATAATTCAGTTACTAAGACCTTCAGTCACAAAGCAGTCTCTACTAGTGCTGCCTTTGACCATCATAGATTTCAGGTAGTCTATTTCCCTGCCAAGTTTAATGTCTCATCATACATCTCTGCCTTGTTAATTCACATGGCTGACCTTGTTCTTTCTCACAATATTATGGGCCATACTTACCCCTTATGTTTCACCTCAGACCTCAGCACATTAATTTTCATCTTTTAAAACTTCCCTACTCATCCAGAAAAACAAAGATTTTAGGCTAATATTTGAGTTTAAAGTCTTACTGCAATATATTACTGTTATACACAGTTCCTTGCATCATCCATGGTAAGGAGGATTACTGTCAAACTGACAGCAGGATTTGTAATGTCAACAGAGGTAAACTATGAGAAATATATCATTAGCTTTTTTTTCAATCCCTTTTAAATGAAAATACAGAAGAAAGTGGTAATCTTAATGCACAGAAACAAGCAAAGTATGTTTTAAATTGTTTTGTAACAGGTTTTGTTAACCACTGATTATAAAAATCCAATTGTAATATTCTCAGTGATTATAAGGAACCAAATGCTTAACAACTCTGTTTGCTATAAATACCACAGGGAAACAAAATATCACAGGTTACATGAATGAGCAGGAACATAAAACACCTGACAGCTATTTTGTGATTGAATTGACTGTAATGTCAATCAAAATATTCTGCATCCGAGTAGAAAAACTAGTCATTAGTGCCAGTAGTTATTTTAGGGTTGACTTATGTTGCATTTGCTTCCCTTAGCCAGAAAACCCAATCAGTACACATTAACTCTTTTAGTTCAAGTAATATTATATTAAAGAGGTCCTGTTTGATTGTTAATGCTATAAACAGTCATAACAATCTTAGATAAGATTTATCAACGAAACAGTCACCAAGATAGAAATGGAAAACAACCTAGTTGAATTTTATAGTGGTTTTAACAGAGAAAAGGGAGAACTCTAGTATATGGGCGGTTTTCTTTGTTGGGTATACACATGTCTGAGACCTGATTCTGATCAATGCAGAAATAGAAAAAGGCCCTAAATATCTGGATGGAATCTGTAGTACAACACTACTGTTTGAACCTCAATCTTGATCCCTTTGTGTTCTAATATTCAGACTCGCTCTTTGAAGTTCTTTGGGCTTGAGAATCATCCTTCACTCCACTTCATTAACCCTGAATACTTCTCAATTATTTCAGCTTGAACTGAATCCTGGTTGCTTTGGGTTAAACCACTGAATTAACTCATGTCCCTTACACCCAACTCTGTTAATGATCAATTTGGTCAGGTCCACCAGCAGTGAAGTAGTTCTGACTGAGAAATTGTGGGTACTAATAGCTTAAGATATAGGAATGTTTTAGATTTTTATTTATAGAAATTAAATATATAAATGATGTACAAATATGTCATTCACGGTTAATGTTTGGTTGAAAAGTATGATATATACACATGTAGATAAATAATGTAAACGTGAAAATTGTATATGAATAAGGTGTTTCTAAAAATGAAAAACTCCCTATGAAATCATTAGACAAAAAATCTAATCTAAGTAAAATCTGTTATACAGTTGTTTAGATGGTTTCATTTGAATTCAGTATATCCAGCAATGCCTGGTACATAGTAGGTCCTCAATATAGAGTTCTTGAATTAATAAATAAATGTTTTAAGCAAAATTAATAAAATTTATCATTAATATATCTTTATCTCTGCATAAAAAGACAAAGATTAAACAATAGAATAACAATACATTTATTTTCCGGTTGGTGAGATTGTAAGTAAATTTATGGTTTATTGTCCCAAAAATTCTTTGTTATTGTTCTAATCTTCTATAAAGTCACTGATTATTATTTATAATGTCTCTCACACACAAAATCAAATGATATCAAATAGGGGTATGGTGATATCTCAAGTAGAGGGAAATGCCACAAAAATTGCAGATATAAATAAAGTTTTTTAGGAGCAAACTTAAAAGTAGAGTAGTTGAAAGAAGTATAATGTCCAAAGTTCCCAATGTAACACACTTTAAGTTAGATATAGATAGTCTGCATGCACAGTGACCAATATTTCAATTGAGAGGGAACCCACACATTTAATACTCTGCACATAATGTTGCATAAGAAACCACTCCCATTTCAGTGGCTTAAAATTATATGCTTTTGTTTAGCTCGTGAACCTGCAGGTAGACAATTTATCTTCGTTTGGCTGGGTAACTTTTCTAGTCATTGCTGTATTCCACTACCAAAATGTCATTTTACTTGTTGTTGCCTAGGACAATAGAGGTAATTAAACCACACATTTCTCTTCTTTCATCAGCCTAGTTTGGACATCATCTTCTTTTAGAGATGGAAAAATTCAGGAAGAGCAAATGGACAGGTGAAAAAGTTTCTTATAGTGTAATATTTACAATTATCCCTTTGTACAAAGAGAGTTACATGGCTCAGTACAAAGTCAGAAAAGCAGAACTCTGGAAATTTATCTATAATGATAAAGAATATCTACACTGGGAAGGGTAAAAATTGAGGCCATTAACATTGTCATCACACAGCAGCTATGTAGCAATATAAACTTCTTCATCTGGTAACTGGCCTTCTCAAATGAGCAAGGTTTTACAACCTAGTGATTGCTATCAGCCTCTGTTTCTCTTGTGCTAACTCAGATTTGCAGCTGGATCTCCTAAGTTACTAAAAATGCAGTTAATGAGACTCCAGACCTTATTCAGTCCACCTTTGGTCCTTGGGCATTCATTAAATATATCCAGTGACTCTGACTAATGTTAGATCGTAGTTTTCCAGTGATATCTCTGGATGGGACATGCAAAAATTGACCCATCTAGTTGGGCCATATGGAAAGTGAAGTCTGCAACATCATCCCAAGACATTTGTTGACATAGATGGGGAGCATTTTGTCAATACATATCATAGAATATTAAAAAAGTGATTCAAACCCTTTCGGCCCTATACTAATCTATTAGGGTTATATGCATTGATTTGCAATAAATTAAGGTCTGACACTCTAAACTGGGATAAACCATAATGCGGTTTGTTTTCCCCAAGCAATTCTTCCACAGGATTACCAAGATTTATTTTTATTATTTTTTCATCAGAAACAGAGAAGTGTGGGCATTTAACCACCCAAGGCAAGGTCAGTATCCAATTTTAGGTAGGTCTTACATCCTTGATCTAAGTAATATGAAATGTCAATCCATTCATTGAAGTCATATAAATTATCCACAAATCTACTGAAGTCAAATCAGAAATAAAATGAACTACCCATCCATCAGCTGAGGCTTAAAAAACAGAAGTTTCATCTTCCTTGTGGAAAAAAACAGACACATACAATGTTCTTCCTCAGATTTCCTTCATTG
Source organism: Homo sapiens (assembly GCF_000001405.40). Taxonomy (NCBI): domain Eukaryota; kingdom Metazoa; phylum Chordata; class Mammalia; order Primates; family Hominidae; genus Homo; species Homo sapiens. Next base: position 30,679,579 of record NC_000009.12, read on the forward strand.
CCCTACTAATTTCTGTGCCTAGAAAGTAAGCCAAAGTAGATGGAAGCATGGCTGTAAATAGCTTATAAATAGCTGACTAAAAAGACAATGCATTGGTTTATTGAGATTTTGTGACTGGCTATGTCCCCTAATTTGTTGTTGTTGTTGTTGTTGTTGTTGAATATACCTAGCGTTTTCACATCTCATGGAAATATTTTCATGATTTTTCAAATTACATCAACAATATTGTGCATGATGCCCTTTTTGATATATTTCGTAAGGCATTTACATTTGTCTACCATCATGGTGCCCCTCAGTTACCTGAAGAAATTCTAACTGAACTTTTGTTTAAAATTTTTCTTTTTTTCTTTTAAAATAAGTTACATCTAACATTTAAGTCTTTAATTCATCTTGAATTAATTTTTGTATAAGGTGTGAGGAAGGGATCCAGTTTTAGCTTTCTACATATGGCTAGCCAGTTTTCCCAGCACCATTTATTAAATAGGGAATCCTTTCCCCATTGCTTGTTTTTGTCAGGTTTGTCAAAGATCAGATAGTTGTAGATGTGTGGTATTATATCTGAAGGCTCTGTTCTGTTCCATTGGTCTATATCTCTGTTTTGGTACCAGGACCATGCTGGTTTGGTTACTGCAGCCTTGTAGTATAGTTTGAAGTCAGGTAGCGTGATGCCTCCAGCTTTGTTCTTTTGGCTCAGGATTGACTTGGCAATGCGGGCTCTTTTTTGGTTCCATATGAACTTTAAAGTAGTTTTTTCCAATTCTGTGAAGAAAGTCATTGGTAGCTTGATACAGATGGCATTGAATCTATAAATTACCTTGGACAGTATGGCCATTGTCACAATATTGATTCTTCCTATCCATGAGCATGGAATGTTCTTCCATTTGTTTGTGTCCTCTTTTATTTCGTTGAGCAGTGGTTTGTAATTCTCCTTGAAGAGGTCCTTCACATCCCTTGTAAGTTGGATTCCTAGGTATTTTATTTTCTTTGAAGCAATTGTGAATGGGAGTTCACTCATGATTTGCCTCTCTGTTTGTCTGTTATTGGTGTATAAGAATGCTTGTGATTCTTGTACATTGATTTTGTATCCTGAGACTTTGCTGAAGTTGCTTATCAGCTTAAGGAGATTTTGGGCTGAGATGATGGGGTTTTCTGAATATACAATCATGTCATCTGCAAACAGGGACAATTTGACTTCTTCTTTTCCTAATTGAATACCCTTTATTTCTTTCTCCTGCCTGACTGCCCTGGCCAGAACTTCCAACACCATGTTGAATAGGAGTGGTGAGAGAGGGCATCCCTGTCTTGTGCCAGTTTTCAAAGGGAATGCTTTCAGTTTTTGCCCATTCAGTATGATATTGGCTGTGGGTTTGTCATAAATAGCTCTTATCATTTTGAGATACGTCCCATCAGTACCTAATTTATTGAGAGTTTTTAGCATGAAGGGCTGTTGAATTTTGTCAAAGGCCTTTTCTGCATCTATTGAGACAACTATGTGCTTTTGTCTTTGGTTCTGTTTATGTTAGACCTAAAACCATAAAAACCCTAGAAGAAAATCTAGACAGTACCATTCAGGACATAGGCATGGGCAAGGACTTCATGTCTAAAACACCAAAAGCAATGGCAACAAAAGCCAAAAGTGACAAATGGGATCTAATTAAACTCAAGAGCTTCTGCACAGCAAAAGAAACTACCATCAGAGTGAACAGGCAACCTACAAAATGGGAGACAATTTTTGCAACCTACTCATCTGACAAAGGGCTAATATCCAGAATCTACAAAGAACTCAAAACACATTAACAAGAAAAAAACAAACAACTCCTTCAAAAAGTGGGCGAAGGATATGAACAGACACTTCTCAAAAGAAGACATTTAGGCAGCCAAAAGACACATGAAAAAATGCTCATCATCACTGGCCATCAGAGAAATGCAAATCAAACCACAATGAGATACCATCTCACACCAGTTAGAATGACAATCATTAAAAACTCAGGAAACAACAGGTGCTGGAGAGGATGTGGAGAAATAGGAACACTTTTACACTGTTGGTGGGACTGTTAAGTTGTTCAACGATTGTGGAAGACAGTGTGGCGATGCCTCAGGGATCTAGAACTAGAAATACCGTTTGAACCAGCCATCCCATTACTGAGTATATACCCAAAGGATTATAAATCATGCTGCTATAAAGATGCATGCACACATATGTTTATTGCAGCACTATTCACAATAGCAAAGACTTGGAACCAACCCAAATGTCCAACAATGATAAACTGGATTAAGGAAATGTGGCACATACATACCATGGAATCCTATGCAGCCATAAAAAATGATGAGTTCATGTCCTTTGTAGGGACATGGATGAAGCTGGAAACCATCATTCTCAGCAAACTATCGCAAGGACAAAAAACCAAACACTGCATGTTCTCACTCATAGGTGGGAATTGAACAATGAGAACACTTGGACACAGGAAGGGGAACATCACACACCGGGGCCTGTCATGGGTTGGGGGAGGGGGGAGGGATAGCCTTAGGAGATATACCTAATGTAAATGGTGAGTTAATGGGTGCAGCACACCAACATGGCACATATATACATATGTAACAACCTTCACGTTGTGCACATGTACCCTAGAACTTAAAGTATAATAATAAAAAAATAAATAAAAATAATAAAATAAAATAAGTTACATCAAGACTGTCAAGTAAAATAGGTTAAAATTGTCATTGTGTTTTCTTTTCCCTGAGTGGGCGGCCACAAGCATTACTTGGCCACAATAGTGAGGGCACCTCAAAGAAGTCTGTTCCAGATACTAAGATGGTGTCAGCAAAGGTGTATATCAGCCAACAAAGGTCTACAACAAATAGGTAATTTAAAAGAGAGGTGAATTACTGCAATAGGAAATTCCCAGCTTGCTATGCTGCTAGCATGCAGAGAACAAGAGATCAGGCCTTTCCACAGTTCTATCCCTGAAAGAAAAACAAACAAACACAAAAAGAAGCAAACAAACCCTACATGAATTTGAATGCTTTATAGCTGAAAGGTAAAGGACAAAAAAAAAATTAAAGGGGCAAGGGAAACTTGTCAAGATGGGGCATTCTATAGATGCTCAAACAGCAGCAAAGCAAATGGGCTGATTAAGCACATGCACACACGCAAATTAGATTTGGCTGCTCTTTTTAGAACATACTCCAGCAAGCCATGTGCTGATATCAAAATGACACTGGACTTTAGAGGCTTACAAGGATTATATGAAGAAAGAAGATCTACATCTGGGGGCCAGTCAACCTACTTCTCTTTCAGGAGGAGGCTCTAATTATTCCAGAATGTGTTTGCTATAGAGCTTTCATAGTTTGTGTGTGTGTTTGTGTATGTATGTGTGTGTGTGAATTCTGCTTGCATTTTTATTTTTGTGTTTTATTTTTACAGCTCTGGTAACATAATTTCCTATAGAAGGCCAGTCAGTTTACGGAGAATATTCTGGGTGTATTTTAAAATAGTTACTGTATTAGTTTACCAAAGTTTCTATTAAAAAGTATCACCAAGCAGGGGACGTAAAAAAACAGAAATATATTTTCTCACAGGTCTGGAGACTAGATGTCAAGGTATCCACAGAACTGCTTTCTTCTGAGTGTCTCTCTCCTTGGCTTCTCGATGACCATCTTCCAATTTCTTCACATGGTTTTCCTGTTATGCCTGTCTGTGTTCTAACCTTTTATTACAAAGACACCAGTCATATGGAGTCGAAACCCACCCTTAGGACTTCATTGTAAAGGTTCTATTTCCCAATGTGGAACAACTCCTAATCATATTTAGATGAAAACTCACACTAAAAGCCTAATTATCCTCATGTAATGGGAATGCCAGAATGACAAGTAAGGGAAAAATAGGCAGACAACATATTTGATGTAACTATGGCAAATATTTTTAAAATATTAATAGAGGTACCAAAAAATAAATTCAGGAAGTTTAGAGAGAGCTCACAACAGAACTAAAAACATCCACAACCAGATTTATCATATTCAACTGCAGAAAACCAAATTTAAAGAAAAAATCTTGAATAGAGCCAACAGGGGAGGAAAACACCCATCTATAGAGTATCAAGGCTGAGAATTCCACTGGATTTATTGTCAGAAACCATGAAAGCATGAAGAGAATGGAGTGAAATATTTAAAGCATTGAGAGAAAGAAAACATCAACTTAGAATTCTGCATCCAGCAAAATTATTTATAAAAGTGGAGAAGACCCTCAGAAAACAAAATCTGAGGGACATTGACTCTAGTAGAAATACCTGTATTATCAACTAATACATAAAATATTTTTAAATTAATACTACCCAGAATATATTGAGTAATTATAGCACACGGATAAGTGAAATGAATGGCAATAATGTTATAACAAGTGTGAAGAAAAATCAAGAATATACTGTTATAAGTTACCTGCATTACTTCTGAAGTGGTATGGTGTTATTTGAAAGTGGACTTAGGTTAGTTGTAACTCTATATTACTGAAGCAATTTAGTAAATCTGGGGCAATTACTAAATTTTTAAAATGTATAATTGATATGATGAAAGAGAAGAGAAAATGAAATCATGAATAAAATGCTCAGTTAAAACTAGAGAAGGCAGAGAAAGAGGGGAAGACTAAAAAGGAAATAAGGAACAGCTGCAATGATTAAAAAATTAAACATGGAAGATTATTTAATGTATCTTAAGCCAGGGTAAATTAGCCTGAAGCGTAGTCATTTGGCTTCTTCTATCCACAATGGCCAATGCAAGGAATACAGGTAATGCAATGTGAGTTAAAATGTTTTAGGGGGTAGCCAAAGTTTAAATCTATAACGTGGTGATCCTGAACCTGGCAGCTACAATGATAACATCATTTAAGTGAGTCTCAAATGAGCACGTTTAGTTCCCTTTATATTGGCAATCAGAGGTGTCTGAGGGTTTTTTGGGTGGAGGAGTGTATAAATTGCATAACCAATGTGGTCTGAGGTAAGTTACAGTGAAAAGAATAAAAGTGAAATTGAACAATTCTCAACCCTAGTTATTCAACAATTTTTAAAATAAAAATAAGGATATTGATCAAAAAGAAGATAAAATTATCTTATTTTTTACTAGTATGTTACTACAATCTTGAAATTGTGATTATTTTGCAAGCTAATTTGAATTTACTTTAATTAGATTCAGAGAATATTATCTCAGCAATAATTTTCTATTTTGAAAAGGTTACATTTAATTAGAAATAAGAAAATAACTATTTGAAATAATATACTGATTACTTGAATATGTTAAATACTAACATCTTGTTCTTCAATCATGACTTTCCTCCAAAATATGACCTTGTAGATTCAAAGCCATGTGAAGTAAAAGGGGTATAACAATATTGCTACAAAACGGTTATTAAAAGTTCTTCTCAAATAATGCCTTCAGGGAATATAAGTGGGAAAAAATTTATAGTGAAGACACAGAAAACATGCAGAAAATTTTAAAAAATTATAAACAAGGCTTTATAAAAATTAAAACTTTTGATTTTCAAAAGCATATTTAAACAAATGAAGATGTAAGCTACCTGATGGGGAAACACACACATTTACATACACAAACGTATATATGTTTGACGGGAATCACACATACACACACATACACACACACACATATATCTTACCATGACATTTTTTCCAGAATACATGATGGTATAAATAACTCAAAAAATCAATACAGAAAAAAAACGACTAAAAATGGACAAAATATTTTGAACATATATTTACAAAAGAATATATAACCAATAAACACATAGAAAGATTCTTAACATTATTAGTTATTAGAGACATTCAAACTAAAGTAGGAATGAGATAACTTGCTTACCAGCTAGAATGGCTAAAAAATATATATAATTCAAAGTTTCGTCAAGAATGTGGAGCTCTAACTCATTCCCACATTTGTAGTAGAAACGTAAAATGATTCAATAACTTTGGAAAACATTTTGGCGTTGTTTCATGAAGCTAAACATAGTCCTAGCTAATCATATAGTCATTCTACTCCTAGTTATTTACCCAAGAGAAAAGAAAACATATTTTTACAAACAGACATATCCAATAATTTGCACACGATTTATATTAGTTTTCTCTTGCTGTGAAAAAAAAAATCATCTCAAAATGAGCAGCTTAAAACAACACCCATGAATTATCTCACAGTTCGGTAAGTCAGAAGTCCAAATAGGTTTGATTATGTTTTCTCCTTAGTGTCTCACAAGGCTTAAATCAAATTCTATTCCATAATAGTTTACTTTGTGAAATATCTAGGAAAAAAATCTACTTCCAGTTTCATTCAGGTTGTTGGTAGTCTTCATTTCTGTGTGGTTATAAGAGAGAGGCACACCCTCCTCAGTTTTCTTGCTGGCTATTATCTCAGAGTCTTTCATCTAGAGATTGTTCTTCACTCTGCATATAAAACTGTCCATCTTCAAGCCTTAATAGTGTGACAAATCCTTCCAGTCCATTGAAACTCTGTGACTTTCTCCTCTGCTATCAGACAGAGGAAACTCTAATTTAAAGGGGCCTTGAGGAATCATCACACTGTCTTCCACAATGGTTGAAGTAATTTACACTCACACCAACAGTGTAAAAGCATTCCTATTTATCCACATCCTCGCCAGCATCTGTTGTTTCCAGACTTTTTAATGATCACCATTCTAACTGGCATGAGATGGTATCTCATTGTGGTTTTGATTTGTATTTCTCTACTGTCCAGTGATGATCTAGAAGCAGAAATACCATTTGACCCCACAATCTCATTACTGGGTGTATACCCAAAGGATTATAAATCATTCTACTATAAAGACACATGCAGCTGGGTGCGGTGGCTCACGGTTGTAATCCCAGCAGTTTGGAAGACCAAGGCGGGTGGATCACGAGGTCAGGAGATCAAGACCATCCTGGCTAACATGATGAAGCCCCGTATCTATTAAAAATTAAAAAAAAAAAATAGCTGGGTTTGGTGGCAGGCACCTGTAATCCCAGCTACTCGGGAGGCTGAGGCAGGAGAATGGCATGAACCCGAGAGGTGGAGCTTGCAGTGAGCCGAGATCTTGCCACTGCATCCCAGCCTGGGTGACGAAGTGAGACTGTCTCAAAAAAAGAAAAAAAAAGACACATGCAAACACACACATATGTTTACTGCAGCACTACTTACAATAGCAAAGACTTGGCACCAACCCAAATGCCCATCAATGATAGACTGGATAAAAAAATGTGGCACATATGCACCATGGAATACTATGCAGCCATAAAAACGAATGAGTTCATGTCCTTTGCAAGGACATAGATGAAGCTAGAAACCATCATCCTCAGCTAACTAATAGAGGAACAGAAAACCAAACACCGCATGTTCTCATTCATAAGTGGGAGTTGAAGAGTGAGAACATATGGACACAGGGAGGGGAATATCACACACCGAGGACTGTCAGGGGGTTGGGGGAAGGGAAATGAGAGCATTAGAACCAATACATAGTGCATGTGGGGCTTAAAACCTAGATGACTGATTGATAGGTGTAGCAAACCACCATGGCACATGTATACCTATGTAACAAACCTGAAAGTTCAGCACATGTATCCCAGAACTTAAAGAAAAAAAGGGGGGGGGGCATGTGACTACATAAGGCAAAGCCAGACAATTTTCCTTTTAGTTAACTCCAGATCAACTGATTAGTAACTTTAATTATATGTGTTAAATTCCTTTTACCATGTAGTCTTTCAAAACCTTGAGGATAATATCTCATCATAATCACAGTCCCTGAAATATGGGTGGGGATATTGTACAGGGAGGCATTTTAGAATCCTACTTCCTACACCACTTTATTCATGATAGCCCAAAGCTGGAAATAAAATAAATTGTCTGAAGCCAGTGTTTTAGAATTTTTTATGGTACTACACCAATTGCAAGCACCAAATTTGGTTCCAGTATTGATTGTTTTATAAGAGACAAAACACGTGGTGACTTAAAACAACAGCAAATATTTATTTAAGCCAGAATCTGTCACTTAGAATATGGACGGGAAACTATGGAGACACTTACATATGCTTTCATGTCTTAGCTGACATGACACAATGGTTGAGTGCTGGACAAGCATCTCTCCACATGACTTGTCCATGTAGCTAGCTTAACTTTCCCCCACAGCATGATACTCTAAGGGGATTAAGACTACTTACATTGTAATTAATAGCTTCAACAGTTATTGTACCTATATATCAGAAATAGAAGATACTGAGAAATTGAAATAACCTACTTTTACCATGTTCTATTGATTATGAATTCACAGAGGCCCATAATCAAGAGAGACAGACATAAATTATGTCAATGGGAAGAACATTTAGTAATTATCAGAATTTTGGGGGAGGAATTAAAATATTTGATAACTCACACTTTTAAGCAGTGAAAACTGCAGAAAAAAATTGGAATACTTGGAATGAAGGAATAATAGCTGCAGAATGCCAAAGATGGCATTAACTTTGAAATTCTGAAATATTTTTAATTGAAAAAACTTTTTTGAGATATAAAGACTCTAGTAATTAAGATTTTGGATTTGTTTGATAATTTTGATGCAACTTCCTGGTCAATTCACATAAATTTCAATCTCAATTATTTTTTTCTGAATGAACTGAACAATTATTCAATGTCATACTCGTGTGCCTTTTGCAACTATGGCTGACTTAGAGTTTAACGCAGTATGATTAAAAATTGGGACTATAAATGTAACATATCAAACCTGTTATTGTGTTACCTTACATGTTGCCTTAGTCCATTTAGGTTGCCATAACAAATGTCTTAGACTGGGTGATTAATAAACTACTGATTTTTTTTTGCTTACAGTTCTAGAGGTTGGGAAGTCCAAGATCAAGGATCCAGCAGATTTGGTTTCTGGTGAGGTCTTGTTTTCTGCTTCCAAGATGGCACCTTGTTGCTGTGTCCTCACATGGTGAAAGGGCAAAAAGGGGCAAGGAAGTTCCCTCAAGTATCTTTTATAGGGGCACCAATCCCCTTGAGTATCACGGCTCATAAACATGCCAGGGAGCTAATTTATGCTCAATTCATAAACCCAATAAAGCAACATTTGCCACTGGAAAGGCCTGTAACTATAATGATACAGATTTGGAAATTTCTGAAGGAAGACTCTTATAAATATATGATGCATTTTATGCACTTTTTCAGGACATAAAAACACTCAAAAAGGAGCTCTCTCTCCCTCACACACACACAAAACAAGAAAACCTGATGAACCATTGACCCAAAGTAAACGGTCCTGCCACCTCAATAAACATTTCTAGGCTTTATTTGGTCAAATTATTTCTTGACACTTTTAAGAAATATAGGAGACTTCGTTGTGCAGTAGTGCTAGCGGCTTCACGGTTCGGTCCTCGGACCCGGCAGCCGCCACTGGTGCTGAGCTGTTAGGAAGCCCCTATCGGCGAGCTCATTGGAGCTTGAACCCATTGTCACCCCTCCGACTCACCGGCAAAAAAAAAAAAAAAAAATGGTTGAAGCAGATTGCCCAGGAAAGCCGTTCACTGGTGGGCTTAACACGGAAACAAATGAGAAAGCTCTTGAAGCAGTATTTGGCAAATATGGACGAATAGTGGAAGTACTCTTGGTGAAAGACCATGAAACCAACAAATCAGGAGGATTTGCTTTTGTCACCTTTGAAAGCCCAGCAGATGCTAAGGATGCAGCCAGAGACATGAATGGAAAGTCATTAGATGGAAAAGCCATCGAGGTGGAACAAGCCAACAAACCATCATTTGAAAGTGGTAGACGTGGACCGCCTCCACCTCCAAGAAGTAGAGGCCCTCCAAGAGGTCTTAGAGGTGGAAGAGGAGGAAGTGGAGGAACAAGGGGACCTCCCTCACGGGGAGGACACATGGATGACGGTGGATATTCCATGAATTTTAACATGAGTTCTTCCAGGGGACCACATCCAGTAAAAAGAGGACCACCACCAAGAAGTGGGAGTCCTCCTTCTAAGAGATCTGCACCTTCAGGACCAGTTCGCAGTAGCAGTGAAATGGGAGGAAGAGCTCCTGTATCACGTGGAAGAGATAGTTACGGAGGTCCACCTCGAAGGGAACTGCTGCCCTCTTGTAGAAATGATTATTTGTCCCCAAGAGATGATGGGTATTCTACTAAAGACAGCTATTCAAGCAGAGATTACCCAAGTTCTCATGATACTAGAGCTTATGCACCACCACCACGAGATTATACTTACCGTGATTATGGTCATTCCAGTTCACGTGTTGACTATCCATAAAGAGGCTATAGCGATAGAGATAGATATGGTCGTGATCATGACTATTCAGATCATCCAGGTGGAGGTTCCTACAGAGATTCATATGAGAGTTATGGTAACTCACGTAGTGCTCCACCTACACGAGGGCCCCCACCATCTTATGGTGGAAGCAGTCGCTATGATGATTACAGCAGCTCATGTGACGGATATGGTGGAAGTCGAGACAGTTACTCAAGCAGCCGAAGTGATCTCTACTCAAGTGGTCGTGATCGGGTTGGCAGACAAGAAAGAGGGCTTACCCCTTCTATGGAAAGAGGATACCCTCCTCCACGTGATTCCTACAGCAGTTCAAGTGCGGAGCACCAAGCGGTGGTGGCTGTGGAGGAAGCCGATCTGATAGAGGGGGAGGTAGAAGCAGATACTAGAAACAAACAAAACTTTGGACCAAAATCCCAGTTCAAAGAAACAAAAAGTGGAAGCTATTCTATCATAACTACCCAAGGACTACTAAAAGGAAAAATTGTGTTACTTTTTAAAAATTCCCTGTTAAGTTCCCCTCCATAATTTTTATGTTCTTGTGAGGAGAAAAGTAAAACATGTTTAATTTTATTTTGACTTTTGCATTGCTTTTCAACAAGCAAACGTTAAATGTGTTAAGACTTGTACTGGTGTTGTAACTTTCCAAGTAAAAGTATCCCTAAAGGCCACTTCCTATCTGATTTTTCCCAGTAAATGAGGCAGGCAATTCTAAGATCTTCCACAAAACATCTAGCCATCTAAAATGGAGAGATGAATCATTCTACCTATACAAACAAGCTAGCTATTAGAGGGTGGTTGGGGTATGCTACTCATAAGATTTCAGGGTGTCTTCCAACTGAAATCTCAATGTTTTCAGTATGAAAAACCTGAAATCACATGCCTTTGTAAGGAAAGTGCTATTCACCCAGTAAACCCAAAAAAGCAAATGGATGATGCTGGCCATTTTGCCTTTCTGACATTTCCTTGGGAATCTGCAAGAACCTCCCTTTCCCCCTCCCCCAATAAGACCATTTAAGTGTGTGTTAAACAACTACAGAATACTAAATAAAAAGTTTGGCCAAAACCAAAAAAAAAAAAAAAGAAAAAAGAAATATGTGAGAAATAACTATTTACCCCCTTAGAACTCACAACATTTAAACAAGCCCAATATTATGTAAGTCATTTGCTTTCTGGAGACAACCTAGTCCCCATTTAGGAATTACATTTAAGCTTATTTATGCTAATATTTCTAACTCAGTCATTTTAAAATGAGACTGCTACTAAAAAGAAAACTCCAGAATCTGTCCAAATTGCAATACAACAGACATTCCTGTTAGACTTCCTCTGTCCCTCAGAGTTTTTTCTTGTAGAGGCTTTAGTGATTTCCTTTCATGTCTGCTGGAATCTCTTTTCCAACAATGGACTTCTGATACAAAAACTGACCTTCTTGGCCCTGCGCTACATACCATTAGAGCATTATCTGATAGCTGCTTGCTGGGTTCTTCTGGGAATGGATACTATTACATGCCTTGAGACTATGACTTTCCATACCTGGCTGCCCACTATGACTGAGTCATGGAGGCAGCAACTGTGGCAGATTTAAAAAAAAAAACTTTCTGAATTTAATCCCATAATATGCCAAAGCATGAAAGATTTTCATGTGCTATGGAAGAGAAAGTGGTACTTTAAATGATAGACTAGAATCTAAGACCTCTGGAATATTCATCCCACCTAGAATTAGAAATTGCTTCCCTTGCTAGATGCAGTGAAACAATAGAAGGCCACACCTCTTTCAGGCCTGTCATTCAACTGGAGAACAACTTGGGATAAACTAAGTGGACAGAAAATGGAGTCCTGCATACTGTATGTATGACAATGATATCATCGTGCATGATGAAAGCCATTGGAGAGCTGCTGCCTTCCATCTCCTAACCAGGATATCTCTCATTAAGGGTAATACCCAAGGGTCAGAAGTATTGGCTAAATTTCAGGCAGTTGCCTTAGTGTTAGAGGATTCCCTGGCCAACAATAGGCTCCATCTACACATTTTATAGACTCTTGGGCCATTGCTAATAGCCTGAGTTCTGGTCCAACCAATGGCAACAATTCTTTATTCAAGTTGCTCCTTTAGGGTAAAGAACTCTGGTAATTTCTTGCCCTAACAGATAGCCAAAAATATAATTTAAAGCCACACACATCTCTGCACATTCTAAAGCCACAGCACAAGTCATTGACAAGAAACTATTCCCTTCAAAGTTCAAGACATCATTTATAGTGACCAAGACACACATTCTCCTTCACAAAATGCCAAATGATTGGCTCCATTACGTGGCATTCAACAGGACATTAACCTTTCTTACTGGTTTCAAGCTGTGTGCTTCAATGCCTTACTTAAATAAGTTCAAATTTAAACATCAAGGGTAGAAAATAATGTAACTTAATTTTGGATGTTTGACTCCCAATAAATTTTATATCTTGTTGTTTCCCTTTTGTCTCACATCTGGACAAGTTGTTAAGAAAGGCCAGATACTCACTCCCTTGAAACCAACGAGGACATTCAAGCAAGACAAACCCAACCAGTGTGTCACAACTCTGACTCAGGGCCCACTATCTGTTACACACACACACACACACACAGACACACACACACACACACAAGCCACTTGCTCTTTCCTTTGTTGAAGTCATTTTTTCACTAACATAGGAGTCTTCTCTGCTATCAAAAAGCCTCAATATGTGAGTAACACATCTTTTTATAACATCTTGGCATGTGTCCATCTCAACATCAAACAAAATTTGGGTAAAGGTCAGTCCCATCCTCTATGGGACCACCAAAAAAAACGGATCCTTGAAAGAATGGATCGATAGATGGCACAGAGCTAGTCACTATATAGCTGCCATAAATTACTTCACTATAAGCGTTTAATTGTATGTTGAAATCCATGCATTATTGTAAAACTATGGAACTCTTTATGGGGCATACTTATCTTTTATGTTCCACAAAGTCATAATATGTGGTATGAATAAAAAAATTAATATTTGATTAAATGAAAATTTGTTTAATATGTATCATGTATATAGTATACAAGATAAAATGTAATAATTAAATTATATCTCTCTGTCATAAAATAATTTATAACTCTGAGGAAATATAATAAAGGTCACTAGATTTAAACCTATTATGTGTCAAGTCGTGAAATATTTTCAATGTTTAATTCAAAATTAAGGTAGTCAAATTCTGAAAACTCACATGATTGGAGAATTTAAAACTCCTAATTGTGTGTGTAGATTGAATTTTCATATAGTCATGAGCTTCCTTATGAGAAGCTGAGCTTCCTTTTTAGAAGTTGGTCTGATCCAAAAAGACTGTGTAGAAACTAAACAGTGTTTGAGAAACTACACAACCAGAAATAACATCAATAGGAATGGTGAGGAATGGAATGACCTATTTTGAAGGGAAAAGCTCTCTTTGTATCTGGTAAGTGCATTAAATATAAAACTTTTCATTAATATATTAGAAAAATAGCTAGAAATAAATTGTTAAACACTGAGGAAGACTCAAATGCAGCATAATACATTACATAGAGATTTTATGAATAAACAAACAAGGGAAACTTCATTTATTCAGTACTTAGGGTGCCATGTGAGTGTGGGCATAGATGATCCCATTTAATTAGCAAATCATTATGTGTTAAATTCTGTTTTTAATAACATAAGGACAAGTAAAAATAAATTTATTTTTCTGTCACTATGTGTCAGTTGTCATACCAAGAAATTTATAGACCAATATCAAACATTATACAAATGTTTCAACAAAGGATTTAATTTCTCCAATTTCTTAATGGAAACCCAATTTCTGCAGCTATGTTTTGCAGATGATGTGAAATTAAGGGTCAAACTCTTAGTAGACAACATACCACTGAATCATCACAATAGATTTCAAAAAGGAAATTGGTAAATATGCATCTTGAGATTATACAAAATAAACATGAAAACATAAATCATTTTGTTTACTACTATCAAAGCAGCCAGGTAACAGAAAGATTGATAGTTACAGAAATAAATAGAAACATTTTCTATTTATTTTATTTTTCATGCTTCAAATACTTGATTTTATAAATTTAAAAGCAAATAAAATAGTATGCATAATAATTTATATTAAAAACATCAACATGTTATGCATGGAACCCTATATATGAGATCCTTGTAATAATCATTTTATAAAGCACAAATTTATATGTGTGCATGCCCATGCTCTTTATTCTATGCTTTAAATTATTTAATGTTCAATATTCTTATAAAACTCATTATGTTATCAATACAAATAAAAAGGCGGCATTCAAATGTTTATCAAGTTAGCACATAAGCAACCAAATAGTAACTTTGTATTTTTTATCGATAAACTATTAATTCTATGAGGACAAAGGCCTGCACCTCTTTTATTCACAATTATAACCGTGATGCTTGAAATATGACATCAAACATAATAGACACAAATAGATTTGCTTACTGGACACCAACAAATAAATGGATGAATTAATTAAATGTGTACACACGTATTTCATAATTTTCCAAATTTTGTGTATTTTAGAATAATTATTAAAATTTATATTGAAATAGTAAATTTTAGCATTTCCTTCACCATGCCTTTTCAGTTAGGTTTATTCCTTTACATTTAATTTCAAATATGCTTTCCTCAGCACATGGTGTTCTCACATACAATGAGAATTACGTAGATATACAGTTGACCCTTGAACAACACAAATTTGAGCTGCCTGGGTCTGCTTACATGTGGATTTTTTTCAATACAAGTTGCATAGAATGCACCTGCCTCTCCTGCCTCCCATGCCACCTCCTCCACCTGTTCTGCTCCTGCCAAGCCCTCCTCTCCTTCATCCTCCTCAGCTTATTCAATGTGAAGACAATGAAGGTAATGACATTTATGATGGTTCATTTCCACTTAATGAATAGTAAATGTATTTTCTCTTTCTTATGATTATCTGAATAATATTTTCTGATCTCTAGCTTACTTTATTGTAAGGATGCAGTATGGAATACATATAACAAACAAAATATGTGTTAATTTACTATGTTATCAGTAAGGCTTCCAGTCAACAATAGGCTATTAATAGTTAAGTTTTGGGGAATCAACAGTTATATGTGGATTTTTGACTGTTTAACCTTCTGGACCTCTAACTTTCAGGTTGTTCAAGGCTCAACTCCAATGTCAATAACAAAAAAAAAAGGAAGCATCATTTAACAAACAGTTCAAGTCCTTTCAGGAAATTGTATTATTTGTCCAGTAATATCTTGAGATGGTTTTCTGATAAGTCAAATATACTGGGATGAAATAAAACATTTTTGTTGCAAATTATAATAGTTTCTTTCACACAGTATTTGAATACAAGTAATTCACTTATTTGGGCTTTCATTTCTTTATTTGAAAAATAAAGTGATTTAAGTAGATTATTTTTACATGAAACATTTTGTATTCCAGTTCAATGCAATTCCATTGCATCCAATTTAATCCAATAAATGTTGATTAAACAGAAATCACATATCAGATACTGCCAGCTGAAGATAGAAAAGATAAGTAGAACATGGTTTAAGAAACACAACCCACATTGCTCATTCATTTATGTGCCAACTACAAATACCTTTGTGTTATAGTAGCAGAGTAGAGTAATTGCAAGAGACTATATGGACCACAAGCCTGAAATATTTACTATCTGGACTTTGAACAAAAAGTTTGCTGTTGCCTATTGAAGATAATGACGTTTTGCTTCTTTATTATATCCACATACCTGCAGATTCAGAATAAGCTTGTCAGGGGCCCTAGCAAAGCAATTTAAATAATAAATACCAAGCTGATAGTGACATTTCTCTTCTCTGACAATCCCCCAAGCCTGGCTTCACCACTGCATGCTTCTAATTGATGACCTCTCACTTAAATGAACAGAGCTTAGAAGATATATATTAGTAAACTACATAAAATGAAGAACCAGTAGTGGAACTTCATTCTAAATGGGATATTTTGACATATAATGTCTAAGGGGATCAACTGTGTCTACTCTACAACTGATAAATGAAAGAAAATACACAAATACATCTAATAACTCTAACAAAAACGTCAGTATTTAAAAAAACTTTCAAAAAACATTAGTAATATCTTTAAATACTTATCAAGAGAAATCCCATTATCAAATATTTCTTGGAACAATATTGTCTGAAAATAAAAAATGACCCTTTGAAGCAGATAAACTCTGTCTCTAAAATGGATAAAATCCCTTTTCAAGATATTAAGAGCACAACATTACTTTGAGAATTCCAGTATGCACATAAAATTTAATTACAAAAAAATCCTACAAGCCATCCTTTATCACACAAACTTTATGCCCAGGAGCAGATTGTATTATTTTACTATTAATCATACAGCCTTTACATACATGTCTTAGTCAAATTTAGATATAGTGTAGAAAGTTGTTGAAATTGAGAGCCAGAATTCAATTACCGATAGTAGTCCAAATACTCTGAACCTCACCTTTTAATACTTTATATGGCTCACCTGTCTGTGAAAGGGATATAACCCTTATTATTTTGCATTAATTACGCATTGAAGGTATAACATATTTTTACTGCCCCAATTCCATAGCAATGCAAATTATTGTGAAATACTTATATCTAAAACTTAAAGTATTATATCTAAAGTGAATTGTGTGTGTGTGTGTGTGTGTGTGTGTGTGTGTTCTTTGTGTATTATTGTTGGTGTTTGTTTGCTTATATTCTTTGCTTCGTCTTAGGTATCCGTTATATATTCAATCATCAGTATTTTTAAATTAAACTGAAATAAGATCATTGAAAACAAGGAAATTGTGTAATAAGATGATTTCTAGAAATGCTGATTTTTTCCCCAAAAGTAGGAAGTAAACAAATGAATTTTATTTTGTTAACACTTCTCAAAATGATAAAGTTAACAGAGTGTGGAGGTTGACAAGTCTCAGCAGATTTCATCTTCTCAAAAAGTAGCTCCAAAGTTTCTAATGCCATAGAACTGAGAGGGAGCAATGTTATCATCAAAGACGGCTGTGATGTATTTCCTTTTCTCTAGAAATTATGTGGAAATAGGGATGAATCCAATTGTTAAGCTCCCGTTAGTGCTATTTTAACAATCTGCTTTCAAACTATAGTCTTAGTTTCTTTTTTCAGTTTATTAAGGCATATATATAAAATAAAAATTTTATATATTTAAGGTATATAACATGTTTTCATACATTTATAGATTATGAAATATTCAAAAGCAAGGTAATTCACCTATCACCTCACAAGCTTATCAATTTTTGTGGGGAGAATTTGAAAGTTATTCTCTATTAGCAATTTTCAAGTATAAAATGTATTATTATTTAATATAATCACTACACTATATAATATTTAAGAACTTAATCATCTTGAGTAACTGAAACCTTCTATCCTTTGATCAACATCTCCCTATACCCTTCCTTCAGCCACTGATAACCGCCATTCCACTCTGCTTCTAAGAGTTACATATTTTTTAGATTCCGCATATGAGCTCATGCAGTACATTTTTCTGCGTTAGTCCATTATTGCACTGCTGTGAATAAATGCCTGAAACTGGATAATTCATAAAGAAAAAAGGTTTAATTGGCTCACGATTTCACAGATTGTACAGGAAACATGGCTGCCGAGGCCTCAGGAAGCTTCCAATTATGGCAGAAGTCGAAGGAAAAGCAGGCATGTCTTAAATAGCCAGCGCAGGAGGTAGAGAGAGAAGGGAAAAGTGCCATACACTTTTAAATAGCCAGGTGTTGTGAGAACTCACTCATTACAATGAGAACAGCAAGGAAGAAATCTGCCCCCGTGATCCAATCACCTTCCACCAGGCCCCTCCTCTAACACTGAGCATTACAACTGGACATGAGATTTGAGAGAGGACACAAATCTAAACCATATCACTTCCAAAAGCCCTACCTCTTATCAACATATAAATTTGGGAATTACTATTCCAACACATGAAATTCTATTGACACATTCACATTCAAATCATAGTAGATTTTTTTTTATGTGTAGAATGTTGGTTCTAAATCTCATAGCTTTTTCAGATGTGAAGAGAATTTTGTATAATTCAGATAAGATATTTTTGAGGTAAAATGTATCTACTTATGTAATCTAGCATATCTGTGCACAGAACTGGCATGAAGAAATCTTTTTTTGAAATTCATCTCTAATGTGTGGGACTTGTAATCCTCCTTATTGCCTAAAGCAATATACCATAGCATTGTCCACATACTTTTGAGCTTACCTACATCCTGATAGGCACAAGAAAACGTGTTAAAACAATCTCGCCCTCATAATATTTACTAAATGTATAATAGTTTGAATTTCTAAAAATATTGATTTAAATGCTTAAGTGTAAGACTGATGAAAATACAATTTAGATAGCCTAAATGACTGTAAATGAATAAAAGCTTTAGCAGATTATTGGAGTCTTCACTGAAAAATAGTACTAAAAGATTATTATAGATAGATGGCTTCCTAGTGTTCACAATAGCGAAGAATGTGTAAGTTTAATTAACAAATTATTCTAAATTTCTCAGATAAAAATTAAATAGGAAGGGCTTAAGGAACAACATTATATTACCCCATTAGAAGTCAATTTTTTCTGATGACGATCATCTAGGTTAATTTAGTTGACGTGGCTTTATTATCATGAAGGTTTTCACGATTCGTTTAAAAACTTAGTCTCATAGGATAGTCATTATAAAGAAAAATGAGTATTATATTAATTGTTGTTAAAAATTTCTCTGTGAAATAAGACAAAATATGAGTGGTGAATTATCTAAATACACAATCTCATGCAAAATACTTGGATGAAAAGCTCAGAGTTGCTGATTCTAGAAGAAAAATTCAATGGATTTTGCTATGTTCAGGTGAGAAAAAAGTCATAGAGAAAATTAATTAGATTGATGGTGCTTGGAATTACTAATAATGTATTATGTAGATAGGATAATAGTTTTTAGAATCTGTAGTTTGTGAACTATGAGAACAATCATGCTGATGATTATTTTTTAGTTTAAAGCATTGTAAGACGACATGTAAAGCAGTAATTTAAAGCATAGTAAAATATTTGTAATTGATGAATCTATTTCTATTTTCTATAGTTAGAGAAATGTAGCTACATACCGCCAAAGAAATGCTAATTTATATTAAAAAGTTGAATCACCAGAACTTGTATAGAAAGTTAGAAATTACTCTTCTGGTATTATTGAATGTGAATGTGTATATGCAGAAGGTAGACAAGGAGAGACAGAGAGAGAGAGAGAGAGAGAATATGAAATTATTATGTTAACATTTTACAGTAACATACATGTGATTTAAAGTCCAAGCAGTTGTTAATGGTGCCGTCATTTAACATTGAGTATCCTCAAGGAGTTTCTCCATCCACCTCTGGTACATAACATGGCATTTTTATTAAATAATCTTTTATAGGCTGGGCGCAGTGGCTCACGCCTGTAATCCTAGCACTTTGGGAGGCTGAGGTGGGTGTATTGCCTGAGCTCAGGAGTTTGAGACTAGCCTAGACAATATGGTGAAACCCTGTCTAAAATACTAAAAATACAAAAAAATTAGCCGGGCGTGGTGGCGGACACCTGTAATCCCAGCTACTCAAGAGGCTGAAGCAGGAGAATGGCTTGAACCCGGGAGGCAGAGGTTGCAATGAGCCGAGATCACGCCATTGCACTCCAGCCTGGCGACAGAGCAAGACTCTGTCTCAATAATAATAATAACAATAATAATCTTTTATAGCACTTCGTAGAGTTTTTTAAATATACAATGTGATTTTTTTTCTTCTACTTTTAATTTCCTTGGGTACAGGTGCAGGTTTATTACATGGATAAATTGTGTGTTGCTGAAGCTTGGTGTACCAGTGATCCAGTCACCCACGTAGTGAACATAGTACCCCATAGGTAGCCTTCCAACACAGCTGCTTCTCTCATTCTACCCTCTCAAGTAGTCCCCAGTGTCTATTGTTCTCATCTTGGTTTCCATGTGTATTTAATGTTTAGCTCCCACTTTTAAGTGAGATCATGTGATATTTGGTTCTCTGTTTCTGTATTAGTTTGCTTGGGATAATGGCCTCCAGCTGCATTCATGTTGCTGTAAAGGACACAATTTTATTCTTTTTTTACGGCTGTGTAGTATTTCATGGTGTCTATGTACCACATTTTCTTTCCTATTCCACAATTGGTGGGCATCTTGGTTGAATCTATGTCTTTGCTATTGTGAACAGCACTGCAATGAACATGAGAGTGCATGTATCTTTTCGGTTAAACAATTTATTTTCCTTTGGGTATATATCCAGTAGTGGGATTGCTGAATCAAATGGCAGTTTTAAGTATTTGGGGAAATTTCTGCACTGCTTTCTATGGTGGATGAACTAGCAATATGTAGTGTACCATTCACACTAGCAATGTATAAATGTTCCCGTTTCTTCACAACTTTGCCAGCATCTGTTGTTTTTTGATTTTTTATTAATAGTCATTCTGACTGGTGTGATATGGTATCTCAGTATTGTTTTGATTTGCATTTCTCTAATGATTAGTGATGATGGGCATTTTTAAATATATTTGTTGGCTATATGTATGTCTTTTTTTTTTTGAAAAAGTTCTGTTTATGTTCTTTTCCATATTTTTAATAGGGTTGTTTTTTGTTTCATGAATACTTTAAATTTCTTAAAGATCCTGGATATTAGATCTTTGTTAGATGATTAGTTTGTGGATATTTTCCCCCATTCTGTAGGTTTTCTGTTCACTCTGTTAATAGTTTCTTTTTTCGTTGTTGTTCAGAAGCTCTTGAATTTAATTAGGTCCTATTTGTGTATTTCTGTTTTACAATTGATTTGGTGGACTTAGTCGTAAATTCTTTGTCATGGCCAATGTTTAGAATGGCATTTACTGGTTTTCTCCCAGGGATTTTTATTGTTTTAGGTTTTACATTTAAATGTTAAATCCATCCTGAGCAAATTATTGAATAAGGTGAAAGAAAAGAGCCCAACATTAATCTTCTACATATTGCTAGCCACTTATCCCAGCACCAGTTATTGACTAGGTAGTCCTTCCCCATACTGTTTGATATTGTTTTGGTCAGAAATCGGGTGATTGTAGGCATATGGCTTTATTTCTGGGGTCTCTATCCTGTTCCATTAGTCTATGTGTACATTTTTGTACCAGTACCATGCTGTTTTGGTTGCTGTGGCCTTGTCATATAGTTTAAAGTTGGGTAGTATAATGCCTCAGGCTTTGTTCTTTTTGCTTAGGATTGTTTTGGGATTCAAGCTTTTTTTGATTCCTTACGAATTTTATGATATTCAAGAGCAAATAAATATATTTATAATGGTGATAATGCCATCAATGACTAAAGTTTTGGAAAATCTCTCAAAATTGACAGGATGACAAAAAGGAGGGAGTCTTTAAATCAAGTTTATCCTAAAGCTGCCTACTTACATTTTTTAAGTTTGGCCTAAATGTTTGTCTGTACATCGTGAACTATAGCATAAATGGAAGTGTAAACAGACTGTAATCTATTCTTGTGCCAATCACTGAGTTTTGGCCAATCAAATGTGGCCAAATGCTAACCGTGTTCAATTAAGACAAATGCCAAGCTGTAACCTATCTGGCTGTTTGTGCAACTCACTTTCATTTTCTGTAGGTCACTTTCCTTTTTCTCTCCATAAATGCTCTTCCACCATGGGACTGCGCTGGAGTCTCTGAGCCTACTCCGGCTTGGGAAGTTGCCTGATTTGCAAATCATTCTTTGCTCAATAAAACGCTTGCAAATTTAATTTGGCTGAAGTTTTTCTTTTAACACAAGCTACCTTTATCCAGAACAGTTTTAATGCAGGCAAAGACTGAGACACTCTGAAAAGAATTCTACTCATCAACTAAAGTTTTTTTTCTACCCTAGAATGGTTGGCCTCTTTCCCCAAATTTTAAGGCACTTAGACTGTAAAGCACAGCATGCTTTTCTCATACTGACATATACCTAACGGCCACTTTGCCATCTCAAAAAACTATATATCAAATTGTATCCATCCCTCTCCTATTTATAAAATGTTCTCTTTTATTATTCTACCAAGTTACTTTGAATGTGACTTCACAAAGTTTTTGGAGAATCAACTGAGGTACTATATAGGGACTTACTATGAAAACATTGAAGCACTAAATAAGCAAATTATGCTATTTTTGGAGAAGAGTGCAGAAGTGTGAGATCATGTATGTTGAAATACATTCTCAAGCAGCACATACTATTATAAGTACAATATAAATATTTTATATGTAAAACAATTACCAGTAATTTTTTTCTAAAAGCACTAAGTCAATCTTCAAAGAAGACTGTGAGAAGAGCCAATACCATTCTAATCTTCTGTTATTTGTAGTCACATCTGCCTTTCACATGAGAATATACATTTTTTTTAGGACAGCGCTCTGTCTTACTCCTGTGTCTTTTTCCTCAGCACAATGCCTCACCCACAATATAAGTGCAAAAAATTTAAAAATTTTTTTAAATTTTTAAAAATTGGGGGAATTAAGTAGATCTTTAGTATATGCCACTTATACAAAAGCCACAAAAGAATTTTACTTCCAATCTAGCAGTAATATCAAGGTAGATAAATTATAAAATTAGATTTTTTGAGCCTATGAGAGAACTGAGGTCACAAGGTAACCCAGTAAACTGAAATCCAAAGAATGACAACATTTTCTGTAGAGACTATTAGCTGCTTAAAGTATAAAGAATATAAAAAAATTTACAGCTTTTCTAGAAGAAAAACCTATAGAAATAAGAACATAGTGAATGAGCAGATAATCCCTTCATTGTTATGAAGTTCATAAATTGGAAATGCCTTATAATGAAGTTTTAAATTATTTGTGAATTTTGATAATTTTAGATGTAGACTATGATAGTTAAAAATTTATTTTGTAAATACCAAAGAAACCAATAAAATGAGAAGAAATAATAGTTTAAAATGTATGAATAAAATAAAAGGGTATGAAACATAAGTAATTTGTCAAAAATAAGACACAAAATTTGGAACTGAGGAAAAGGAGTGTATAAGAAGTGTAGAAATTAAACATCAAGAGAGTAGATTTTAACTCATAGAGATAGAGACTAAAATGATAGCTACTAGAGGCTAGTGTGGGAAGGGGAGCATGAGAAAGTTTAGAAAAATGTTGATCAAAGGAAATGAAATTTTAGGTAGATAGAAACAACTTCAAGACATGTATTATAAATAAGATGACTATTGTTAATAAGAACGTGTTGTAATCTTAAAAATGGTAAGAGAATAGATTTTAAGTGTTCTTGCTACAAAAAATGTTAATGATGAGGTAACTCATAATTAGCTCAATTTAGCCATTTTACCATGTACACATACTTTAAAACATCATGCTGTACATGATAAATATATACAATTTTTACTTGTCAACTAGAGAAAGAAGTAAATTATAAAAAATCCAAACATATCAATAATTAAAATAGATGCATCAAAGGCTCTAATTAAGAGGGATAGCATAATAATAGATATAAAACAAGATTAATTATGTGTGTATGAGGTACAAATAAGTTGAAAATAAAAGGATGGAAGAAAATTACAGCATGAACACTAAGCAGCAGGAAGCTAGTGTGACCTGCTAATAACAGACAAAATAAAGTTCAAGGTAAAGAGTATTATCAGAGCTAAAAAGCCCACCATTCTGCAATCAAGGAATAGTTTGATAATGAAGAAAACATAATGCCAAATGTATATGCACCCTATAACAAAGTTCCCACATATAGACAAGGGATTTAACAAAATCATAGGGAACTAGAGACAAATCTCCAAATCATATTTGAAGACTTTCAGATGCCTCTCTCAATGGTAAATAAAACAAATAAAAAAATTCATAGAAATGTGGAAGCCATAAACTCAACCTCAGTAACCTGAACTCACCTCATGAGTTATCATAGAAAAGCAAATTAAACCAAAATGAGATATTACTGGATACCCACTATAATGGAAAAAATAAAAAAATAATTGACAACACTATTTCTAGAATATGTGGAGCAACCAGAACTCTCAAACAAAGAGAAATGAGATTTTAAGGGTTTCTTTTTCACAGGGCCCTCATCTGCCTTGACTGGAAAAGTGCCCATGGGAACACTGCATGGTGATGGAAAGATACTCTGTCTTGATATTCTGTCATCAAATCTGATTAAATGTTACACTTAAGATTTAAACATTTCATAGTATATAAATTATACTACAATAAAAAATAATAGTCTTAAAATGCATTTAAAATGCATCCCTCTTTAAAAAATCAATTTAAAGTGTTTAGAAAAAGCTGAAAGGAATGGTACAAGCTTCACTTTACAGATTAGCTCAAAACAGTGCTATCAAGAATGAGTTCCAACCTTAAATATACATTTATGAATATGAAAGACATCATTACTTCCTTCGTATGGCAGACAGTCTGCACCATGTCATGTGTGCATATACTTCTGCCCTATTTCTCCATAAATAGCTTGAATTTGCTTGAAGACAATGCTAGTTTTTTGAGTGCTGAAGCTAGATCATGTGCTTATAGAGAACCTGTGACCTCCTACCTTAGGTCTTTTCAGGCAGAGGGCTTGACATTCATTTAAATTATTCTCCCAGTGAATATATTACTTGTACTTACTCTGCTAAGGTAATCAAATTATATACTATATACTATGTAATATATACTATTACTATATATACTATATATATATACACACACACACACACACACACACGCACACACAATTACTGACCACTGATTATATGCCAGGCATTTGACAAAAAAAATTTATCTACTTTTTCTATATAATATAATATAATATAAATTTAGCATGATCTTTTAATAGAAGATTATTTTGTCCCTTAAAATAGACAAAAAATTATGCTCCAATATGTAAACGCTTAAAGTATCACAGATACTTTATTAGTAAGTAAATAAGTCTAAGATAAAACTTAGATCAAACCTGGTTTTGCCTTATTCCAAGAATATGTGTTTAACTATCCCTATTCATATATAACCTCCCAAATGGTAAACACATTACCCTTGAAGAATAAAATTGACTATCCTGTTTTATACACTTTTGTATCCCAAGCATAAAACATGTCCCTGACAAAAAAAAATCACATGTAAATATTTCATATGTTGATCTGTACAGAATAGAACACACAATAATTGAGGGAAAAAAAGACAAAAGCAAAGAAGTAAAAATAAGACATTTTGACCTCAAACAGGCAATGCCATTTCTACAAAATATGGGGGGAACAGAGTTTCTTTGCTTTATTTTTTCCTTTAATCTTTTGATCCTGAGGTCAGGTCCTTGGAAGAGTACCTATAAAGACTTCAAAGGCCTATACTTGAAGTAGACATTGGAAACAACACCTATTTCTTCTTTCAGATTAGAATGAAGGAGTGTTCATTGTCTTACCTGTTCATGAGATTCAAAAAGAGAGAAGAGCAACTCTAAAAGGTTGGGAGCTGAAATATAGTGGAGTCTGTCATTTTTAACTTTCTTTAGTCCATTTATCTACAAAAGAAACAGAAGTATACTTTAGTAAAAGTTTAGAGTGCCCATAACCTTGGGATAAAAATATTTTTAATATTTTCAAATATGTTGGATTTGTTTTACTTTTCAATTTTTATTTTTGAATCAGAGGGTACATGTGCAGGTTTCTTACAGAGGTATATTGTGTGCTGCTGATATTTGGAGTATGAATATATCCATCAATATTTGAAACCTGATTAATTCATACTTATTTTACTATTAATATAATAATTTGCTGGGGAAAAGAATCTCAGCTCAGCCTTGGAATTGATATATTTTACAAGGTAGAAAACCAGTTTGTCATAAAATTTAGAAGAAAGTTACTAAATTTATTCATAGTATTATTATTTAAAACATTTTTAGGATCAAATTTTAGCATATTTAAATTTGACAAATTGTTTTGAGACAGAAAATCTATAGGATATGCAAATTTACAAAAAGTTAGATGGTAAAACCCTCTTTTTTTTCAAAGCAAGGAATGTATGCAAATATTTTTAAAATCGTTTGTCAGTAAAAATGAAGAAAATTAAAATGAAGAAAACAGAAGTCAAAAGAAGAATGAGGGTCTGTATCTCCAGTGATCATATGTGAGTGATGTGGCAACATTTGCGGAAGTATATAACTGTGTTTAATAAAAACATGAGGTATTTAATCTCTAGATTAAACTGTCAAAATATCTGTGATGAATATTGGTTTTGGGAGAGTTCAATACAGACTTTCCCAAAGGGGCCTTTTATGCCTCTCTAGCTATGTAGTCAAGCCAGGCTTACAAAGCAGTTAGACCGTTTGAAAGACAGCACCAAATTGACACCGGGTATCAACAGGAAAGTTTTGAACTTTACCCAGCACATCATAGTTGAATAGTTAGTCGGTTAGTTAGTATATAGCCTTGACAGTCTAAACCAAGTATCCAGGTACTGCTGGAGATAAGCTTAAAGCTGTTCCAATCCAGCTGTAATACAATTCTAACCTATGTAACATTCATAATCTAAGTTCTGACCTTAAGATGCTGGAAAATAAACAAGAAATTAAATCCAAAATTAAGTAGGAGGAAGTATGGGATACATAGTAAAAAGAAAAATCAATGAAAGAGAATAAAATAATGAAAATTGACAAACCCAGTGTTATTTATTTTAAAGGATGAATAGAATATATAAAAAACAGGATACACATAGAAAATATATTACACAGAAAAGAATGGAAGATGCACACTATCTGATTTCAAGGCTCACCAAATAGCTACAGAGGTCAAGAAAGTTTTGTATTTGTGTTAGGGTAGACAAATATAATAGACTCCATACCTAGATCTACCTATATATGATCAACAAATTTTTGGCAAGGCAATTCACTGGGGAAAGGAAAGTATTTTAAACAAATCATGCTTGTAACTTGAATAAATTGTTCAGAGTCAGTCTAGCCCACAAAGTGGCTGACTTCATGGTCTAATTTCAATCATGTCTTTCATTATATTTTTGGAAATAAAGGTAAATTGAAGGTTATATTATATATATATATATATATATATACACACACACACACATACACATATACATATATGTACACACACACATATATACAGACCTACATATATGTGTGTGTGTATTATTTTTCTCATATTTTATGTATCTATTTATTAAATTTCTCAAACTAAGGGGTTTTTGTCTCTATAGTGACTTTTTCATTAATCAGGCATCAGAAATAAATGTTCCCATTTCTTGAGAGAAAAACTCTTTTCAGATCCTTTGGCGTAAGTCAAATCAAATGTTGTTCTGTCTCAGTATGTTCCATTTTGAATTGCTTCTCCTGTAGGCAGAACCTGTAACTGACATATTTTTACTTCCCCTGGTGTGCAATGTTTTATTAAGCTAATATGTCTTTAGGTTATTGTAGGTTCAACTAATTTTGGATGTAAATCTTTGTGAAATATAGATTGCCAAGACCAGCTCAGTTGTGGAGACTCTAACCTAGTGGCACTAGAGGAATTAAAGATACACACACAGAAATATAGACTGTGGAGTGGGAAATCAGGGGACTCACAGCCTTCAGAGCTGAGAGCCCCGAACAGAGTTTGACCCACATATTTATTGACAGCAAGCCAGTGATAAGCATTATTTCTATAGATTATAGATTAAGTAAAATATTCCTTATGGGAAACAAAGGGAGGGGCTCTGGCTAGTTATCTGCAGCAGGAACATGTCCTTAAGGCACAGATTGCTCATGGTATTGTTTGTGGTTTAGGAACTCCTTTTTTTTTTTTTTCTTTTATTATTATACTTTAAGTTTTAGGGTACATGTGCACATTGTGCAGGTTCGTTACATATGTATACATGTGCCATGCTGGTGCGCTGCACCCACTAACTCATCATCTAGCATTAGGTGTATCTCCTGATGCTATCCCTCCCCCCTCCCCCCACCCCACAACAGTCCCCAGAGTGTGATGTTCCCCTTCCTGTGTCCATGTGGTCTCATTGTTCAATTCCCACCTATGAGTGAGAATATGCGGTGTTTGGTTTTTTGTTCTTGCGATAGTTTACTGAGAATGATGATTTCCAATTTCATCCATGTCCCTACAAAGGACATGAACTCATCATTTTTTATGGCTGCATAGTATTCCATGGTGTATATGTGCCATATTTTCTTAATCCAGTCTATCATTGTTGGACATTTGGGTTGGTTCCAAGTCTTTGCTATTGTGAATAATGCCGCATAAACTTTTACACTGTTGGTGGGACTGTAAACTAGTTCAACCATTGTGGAAGTCAGTGTGGCAATTCCTCAGGGATCTAGAACTAGAAATACCATTTGACCCAGCCATCCCATTACTGGGTATATACCCAAAGGACTATAAATCATGCTGCTCTAAAGGAACTCCTTTAAGTGGTTTTCTGCCCTGGGTGGGGCAGGTGTTCCTTGCCCTCATTCTGGTAAACCAACAACCTTCAGCGTGGGCATCATGGCCATCACGAGCATGTCACAGCACTGCAGAGTTTTTGTTTATGGCCAGTTTTGGAGCCAGTTTATGGCCAGATTTGGGGGCCTGTTCCCAACAATAGGCTTGCAGCAATGTCTTGTCTTTTATAGAGTAAGCTACTTTTTAATTCAACAAATGTGTACTAACATCTATTATATTCAAATCATTAGTTCAGGAATTATCAATGGTGTATATGTTAGAAAAAGCTGAAAGTGTTTTAGTGGACATGTATCTCTTTTTTCTTTCAAACACAGAGACTCCTATGGAGATCCAGCATCTTTACAAATAGCTTCAGTATGGGATAATCATTATTTGGTTAACTCTACTTTTTAAAATTTTTGCCTTAAGTAATTATATTTTCTCTGGACACACCAAGAACTTCACAAAAGGGCATATCTAAATGGTCCCTGGACATGAAAACATTGCATTTTGTTAGTCATCATAAAAACACAATATAACATAATAATTCAATATCTCTATACACCTATTGGAATGGCTAAATGCCATACAAACAACTAAAGATTATATTTTAATTTTTCTGCTGACTCTGATATAGCAAAATCTGTATAGTTCTGCAAAATTTCAACTTGTATTTCTGGGTGCCCTGAAGAAGATCTCAGTTGACATCACAAACAATATTCACATATTTTTTTCACTTTTGTACCCCTAAGTTTGCTGCCAACAAAGAATCTTAAAGAAGAAAATTACTGCAATAAATGATGCTAATAGCAGTCTGATAGGCACTAAATAAAATTAATAACAGGTCACCTCACAAGAATTCTTCCAAAGTCGTATAATAGGTATGTATACATTTAATAAAAATACAAAGTATTGTTGATTTCATCTCATATTATACACAAAAATAAAATCTGGATGGACTGCAGTTATGTATAAAAAAAAGAATCACAATTCTAGAAAAAAATTCAGAGTAGTGTCTTCATAACCTTCAAACAAGCAAAGATTTATTGAAAATGACAAAACGTGCTAATCATAAATAAAATAATGAGTAGCATGACATTTTTAAAATGAATAACTTTTATTCATCAAACAGTAAGATAGGTATAGGTTAGTGACTGAATGAGATGAGATGTTTTCAGTAAATATACCCAACAATAACACTGATATTGAGAATAAATGAACTCTTAGAAATTGATAGGGAATAGGCAGACAACCCATCAGCAAAAGGAAGAAAAATAAACAAGAATAAGTACTTCACAATAGAGGATATATAAATGGCCTCTGGACATAGGAAGATGTTGCACTTTGTTTTAAAATAATAATTGAATGGCAATACATATCCATTAGAATGTCTAAAATAAACACACACACACACACACACACACACACACACACACAATACCAAGCATTTGGAAAACTATGGAGTAACTAGATCTCTCATGTACTGACTGTGAAGTGGAAATTTGTTGCAATAGTAGAAAAATTGATTGACATGATATGCTCGTATGTAACATGTATGTATCTTGTGACCTAACAATTTCACTCTTAGTTATGTACCCAACAAAAAATACACGCATATATGTAGCAAACTTTATGCGTACAAACATTCATGGCAACTTAATTTGGCCCAAATTAGAAACAATCCAGTTGTCCATAGTAATAAATCAATTAATTGTGGAGTATTTACACATTTGAATACTATGAAGCAATAAAAATAAAGGAACCATTGCACATGTACAACATTTGAATTTCAAAAACCTTAAGTTTAACAATAGTTAGACACAAATGAGTTAATAATGGTTATATGAAGTTTATAAATTTTTCAAACAAGTATATCTAATATATGATGATAGACTTTACAGTAGTTATAACTTCTGTGTAGTTAGTGACTGGGAGAGGGCAAAAGGGGCACGTTTGGAATGCTACTAGTGAAATATTTGTCATCTGGTTAGTTGCTACAAATAAAATATGTGGCCTCAAGATTTGTGCATGTCTTTGCAGGTTTTTAGATTTCAGATAACAGTGTTCTTAATAAATACGTAAATAAATAATCCAGGAGAGAATGGTAGTTTGGACTAGAGTACTAATGAAGTGGTAAGAAGTGGTTCAATCTATTTGGAAGGTAAAGTCAATACTATATGCTGAAAATTAACTGTGCCGTGCCAGAGAAATAAATTTTAGATGACTTCTGAGGAAGTAGAAAATTATGCTTGGTATTAAAAAGAAGAAACAGCAGGTTTTGGGAGGTAAGATCATGTATTTGGTTTGTGACATGATAAATTTGATGTGCTTTCAAATAGTCCACTGGAGAGAAAAGAAAGAAATCTCATATTCCTATTCGCCATTCAGTAGAGAAATCTTGGAAAAAATAAAAATACAAAAAAAGTTGAAAGAAAAAAGAAAAAGAATATACATAGTTGGCATATCTACAATAATACATAAATAGATGTCATTTTAGGAGCATTGTTTAGATATAGTGAGAGAAATTCATACATATGAAATATTTCATTCATAATATAATTTCCAAGATCCATCAGCCTAATATAGCTGCAAACACATAAATTTAAATTTAATTATTATTTACACATCTCTTTCATAAAATAAGAATTCTGCAGACAAAAACAAACAATAGTTCAGGTGTAGAATATTTGGGAAGAACAAATAGATCTTGTTCAATGAGCATATATATATATATATGTATATGTATATACACACTGACTATAACAAAGAATATATATGTTCTTTATAAGCATACATGAAAGTTACTTTTTAAATGGAACACACAAAACCATAAAGCAAAAGTCAAAAATATGAAAGAATTGTACCTATTAGGTTTCTAAACACAGTACAATCTTGTTAAAAATGCAATAAGCATAGACATTGGTTTGAGCTGGGAGAGTCTATTTTTATGTCCAATAGCCCATATCCAAGGAAAGACATATAAAAAGATACCATTAAAAGCACCTTTATTTGTATGTTAAATTACATTATCATCCTAGTTACACATCAATAATAAAAGATATTCTCAAATTACATTTTGAAACACAAATTTAAATAAGTAATGGATTAAGAAAAACATTATATGGGAAATGATACTTTGAACTCATCAATAACACATTTCTATAATCAGGTACATTGGAGCTTTAAAGAAGAGTTTCTCAAACTTTTGTTCTCAGGACTCTGTTAAAATATTAGGCATTATTGAAGTACCTTACAGATCTTGTGCATGTAGGAAGTATCTTTCAATATTTTCCATATTAGAAAATAAAGCAGAAAAATTTTTCAAATACAATATTGCACAAGCACAAATTTGATTAGTCATAAGAACAATTATGTCATATTACCTAGCCTCTGGAAAATTCCACCTTGCTTCATGAGAGCAGGAGAGTGAAAATAGTGAATAATATGTAAGTATTATTTTGAAATAGTTTTAAACTCGTAACCCTTTTAAAAGATCTCAGAGACAACCAGGTGTTTCCAAGTCATACTTTGAGAGCTTCTATTTTAAGAAAATGTATTGTATATATTCATTTAAGTTGTTTTTAAGAGAAATTTATAGATTTAAATAAGATCTATTTAATTATCATACTACACTCTTATTACTAAAAGTTATGCAAGCTGCCAATTAGTGAGTTAAGTAGCACCAGTGAAAAATTAGAATATAAAGAATTAAACTATAAAATAAAGGAAGGACATTATAAAAATGACATAAATGAAGCATAAAATTAAAAAGTAACAAAGGATAGCAACAATATCCTAGTTACTTTGTAATATTTAATAAAATAGGCATACTTCTGTCTATACTGCTGAAGACAAAATATAAATATGAAGAATATGAAGAATAAATAATATCCATAAATAATACAAAGAAATAAAATAATATTCTTAAATAATATGAAAAATAAAAAGTGGACATAGTACAAATACAGTAAAAATAAGCAAAATAAGAGAGAGGAAGGATCCTCAGGAAGGATCTCGTGATCTTTTTGTGTTGTGTTCCCTGCCGTAAGGTCGTATACGCCTCCTCTAATCCCAGACTATATAAAGAACAAAAGATGGAAGAAGAAGATAAGGAAATAGAAAACACTGATAATTAAAAAGAGAGAGAGAGAAACTCAGAGAAAGGATTTTTAAACCCAAGAAGGAATTCACAAACTTAAAGTTCACATGTTAAGTCCATACATTCGACTACATAGATAGATGGTAAGCTTGTGACGAAAATCAGTACTGAGTTAGATAATTTTTATCGTACAGTTTAATGAACATAATAAATGATTAGTATGAATAAATTTGCAGTACTAATACCAAAGCTTATTCTTCAGAGGACCCATTATCTCAATTTTTCTTTCAAACTATTTATACCTAGTTATAGTTCATAGTCAAAGTCTCCCTCTTTCTCAAATTGTGTTGCAAAGAACAGCCTTGGGACTGTCAGATATTGCTGATCCCAGCCACGTTAGTGTTGTTAGTGTTAAGGGTTAAGGTGGGGCTAGGCCATGAGCCACAGTGTGATTTGCCTTAGACAAGTCTGCCTACTAGCCCAGGGAAAGATTAATTGCTTCCATGGTTTTTCCTTCACAGTTCCTTACATGGGGTTTCATTTTCTAGGCCCCAGGGCTTTTGTAAAATAAGCAAATGAAAAATAGAGGATATTTTATTCTACTCTTCATTCCCTTGGTTCCCATAGGCAGTGAAGTGAATTAAGAATGAAATATGAGAGAGTGGGGAAGAGAAAATCTCTTTAATAAAAGTGTGGCTCTGTTCCTATTACAAGTGTTTTACATTCTGGCTACATATTACATGTAGTACAGGGACTCAATTCTTTAGAAGAGGTATTTTCAGAGGGAAACAAATAAGAAGGCATCAGCTCTGAAGCTGCTTCAGTATTTGTGGATTTTATGTAGGAATATAACCTCACAGCTCCTCCACTTTCTCCTTTCTTTTCAGGAAAAGCAGCTTCTCCCACTGGCATAGAGCTGCCCAACATTGACTGCCTTTCATCTGGGCCAATTATCTTTTGTCTGATTTTCCTAGCAGAGGCAATAGTTCCTCCTTATCTGCAATTTCTATGTCCTTATTTGACCCATCTGGGACATGAATTATCCCTTTGTCCAGACTATCCACAGCATCTATGCTATCTGCCTGTTAGTTACTGAGTAGCCATCCCAGTTATTAGGTCAACTGTTGCAGTACCTCAGTGCTTGTGTTCAAATTAAAAAAAAAAAAGCACATCTTATTATACTTAATAATGGTCTCAAAGTGCAAAAGTAGTGATGCTAATACATTGCTGTAATTGTTCTATTTTATTATTGGTTTTTGTTGCCAACTCCTTTCTGTGCCTAATTTATAAACTAAATTACAAACTAAATTGTTTTATAAATGTTTGTATTGAAAAAACATTAACTACATAATACACATTATATATATACACATTATACAGATATAATGTGTATATATATATACACACACACTATATATCTATATAAATACACACACACACACACACACACACACACACACATATACACACACACAGTTTGGTACTATCCGTGGTTTCAGACATTTACTGGAGGTCTTGGAAACATATTCCCTGCATTTAAGTGGAAACTATTTCTCTTTCTGTTGATTCATTAGCCTTAGAACTTTCTAAAAGAATGAATTCACGCTGGCTCTTTTGGCCCTTATTGCAGGTTTACTTTCTCACTCAGGGTGGTGATGGAGACAGGAGCTACTCAAAGTGCTTGGGTATATTTAACAAATTGATAAAGCTCTCTGGCATATAATCAGGCTGTTAAGGGCTCAAAAACCATCAACTTTTGAATGATGAGTAGAATTCCTACAATATTCTCTATTCCTTGGGGAAGTAATTCTCTAACCATTTGCTAAACCTCCTATGTATTTTTATGGAACCCATAAATAAATTGAAATTTAAAAGATTTAATTTGTTCCTGAAGGTCTTCACAAAGCTCTCCACAATGTAGGAATTTAAAAAATTAAATGAAAAGTTAAAGAGTTGGGGTTGCACAATGAGATTTTACAATGAAATTTTAAGAAGTAATATGACATTGGGTATTCAAAGAAGAAAAATGGATAGAAGCAGGCAAGCTGGAACAGATAGGACCAACAACATAAAGCACCCACGAAACAGTGCTCAAGTGCTCAACCAGATAAGACTTTTTTTTACTCAATTATAGTATGAGCACCTTGATCTGGGAATGATTTACATCTAGAGATAAGAATTAGAAAAAATATCCTAGAAAAAAGTAGTGAAGAGTGAAATTATAATAATCCCTAGTGCAATGAAACAACTAGGTTATATGACATGACTCTTGCCCCTTTAATTATTCCAATTATTCCTAAAAAGAAGAGATCTGTGTTACTAATAGTAACTAACAAAGTGGCCCATGGATACAGGCAGAATAAAATTCAATGCTTATTCCCAGCTTGGTCTATTTCAGGTAGTAGGATTTTCTATTGATTATTTTGTTTGTTTGTATTTTTCTTATTTAATCCTTAGGAAAACTCAAGTCCAGCTAGCTCATACAGTTTTTTTTGAGGGGCGCACTCAATGTATTTTTATAAAAATACAAAATAAATAGAAGATAAGACATAAATATAAATGACTTCCAGGTTTTGTGTTTTATATGATATACTTAATTGAGTTAATAAGCTTCTAGGTTTTGAGTTTCATATGATATACAATATATAATATAAAACTACAATAACTGACAGAGCTTTGCTAGAACAGCTTAGGGCCTGCATCCACTGAGAAAGGCAAGATAATTGAGTCTGCTCTGGTAGGCATTGAGCCCATATCCCCAGCCACCAGCCCAAAGCCTGGGGCCACAGGGGCTGACTTAATGGCAGGGTAGATATAAACCCAGAAGCTGCTGAGGACAGCCTCATGCTGAGGCAGGCCCAAAGCTCAATGCTGCTTGGGCAGCTTGGCATTGGAGTAAGTTGAAGCTGAGTGCCACTGGGGGTGGCCTGGTTTTGAGTGTAGACCAGGGTGTGGGGTCACTGAGTTTGACTTTGTAGTGGGGCAGACTAAAGATAGAGTCTGCCTTGCATTCCTGGAGCCTAGGTCTATGAGGTCCAGCCTAGCACCTGGGCAAGCCGGGAGGAGGATCAGTCTGTGGGCATCAGCATAGAGGTGGGGTGGTCATAGTGGCCTGCTCAGTGCTGGATTTTGCTGTAGCAAGTCTGGTTTTGAAGTCCAAGGCAGAGTTCTGTGCTCACTTCCCTTTCCTTCTTCCACAAGGAGGGTATCTTTGTCAATACCTTCTTGCCTAGGGGTGATATAGGTAACATAAAACTATACTTTCTACCCCTTTAATGCATTTGTTTTTATTTTTGTGTTACATCCAGGTGATATAATCTCTCATCTGATTTGCACAGCTAATGTAAAAGTATTTTGATGTGCGAATAGTTGTTCAAACTGATGTTACAGGCGACAACCTCTGTAGAATCCTAGACCACTATCTTGCTCCCTTGGAACATTCTTAAACTGGTTTTTCTCTCTGTATCTCTGCATGTGTATATGTGTGTTTGTGTGTGTGAATGTGTGTGTGTGTGTGTAGCATACGTATATTTTCATTTATCTTGAGTAAATAGCAAGATATTGAATTGCTGGGTCACAGTGTAGGTGTATATGTAACTTTGTCAGAAACTGTTAAATGGTTCTTCAAGTTGGTTGTATAATTTTTGCTACCCACAAGACACCAAAAATGAATGACTGTTTTTTGTTTTCTCCATATTTAAAACATTTGATATTATTGATCTTTTCCGTATTAGCTATTTTAATGTTTTTAAGAAAATACTTTATTTTCATTTTAATTTACATTTTCCTAATGACAATTTTCATCAGCTTATTAATGTGTTTGTTAACCATTCATACATCATCTTTCTAAATCTATATTCCAGTCTTTTTTCATATTGAATGGATGCCTATGTTGGTCAAATAGCAATAAAAAGCACATAATTGAGTCTACTTCTGGACAATCAATTCTGCTCCAGTGATTCATTTTTTATGCTTAAACTTTACTACACTGTCTTAATTACTTTAGCTTTAAGTAAGTCTTTCATAGAGTATAAATATTCTGATTTTATTTTTTTCTTCAGGAATGCTTTTGCTTTTCAGTTCTTTGCATTTCATACAAAATGATTTTTGCACATCTTGCACTGGAGCTGTTCTAGAGACAAATTATATTCCTTCTTGAGAGCATATACCTTTACTTTGTTTTCATATTTGAATGGCAATTTATTTGGATATTAACTTATAGTCTATTTCTTTTCTTTTCAATGGTTTCAAGATGTAATAGTTATCAGTTAAATATATCCAAGAACACACTTGTAATCAATATTTACTATATGAAAAAGGCGTCCCAGGAGGAAACATGAAGACTCTTTTAGAAGGTGTAAAGAATAAGGCATTATAGAATTTGAACTTATGCTAAATAATTTTGTGAAAGATTCAAGGAGAAAAAGTGGTTCAGTTTTGGTGCTATCAGTAAAGAGAGTAATCTAGTTATTAGTAAATCTCATCGAGAAAATTGTAACAACATAGCTGTAACCTAAAGCTGCTATTGGTAAAGAAAATATCAGTAGAGTGAAGATTGTATTTGTTCTTGCATTGCTATAAAGAAATACCTGATATTGGGTAATTTACAAAGGAAAGAGCTTCAGTTGGCTCATGATTCCACAGGCTATACAGAAAGCATGGCTGAGGAGACATGAGGAAACTTTCAATTATGGCAGAAGGCAAAGGGAATGCAGGGACATCTTACATGGTAGAGAATGAGAAAGAGAGCAGAGAGAAAGTGCTATGCTCTTTTAAAAAACTAGATCTCATGAGAACGTACTCATTATACAGTACCAAGGCGGATGGTACTAAGCCATTCATGAGAACTCTGGCTCTGTAATTCAATCACCACTCACCAGACCTCACCTCCAACACTGGGGGTTACAATTTAACATGAGATTTGGGTGGGGATACACATCCACACCATATCAAACAGGTTGTTCATCTTTGTGTCTTCCACAGGGACTTCATTTTTATCTGTGTTCAGAAATAATTACTAAGTAGTTCTCTTTTGTCAGTTTGTCATAATCACAGGGTGATTATTTAATGTAGTTCTAAAAGATTGTTTGTGTTTAATGTAAGGCCACCAACGTACCTGTGAGAACTAGGCAGTTCCTGTCAACATAAAAGTCTATGTATTAGTGAGTCTGGCTTCCAAATATCAGAGCTTACTTGACATTGTTTCTAAGACGTTTTATTATTTCTGATTAGAAATTATCCATTTTTATTTTTTAGTTCCCCAAATACAATGTATCATTATCTTTTCTAGCGAATGTTAACCTTTCCTCTTTTTCTTTGATTTTCGCCAGTACAACAATGATGTGCCTAATTTCAGTTTCTTTGTATTCATCCTGTTTGGTGTCGCGTGTGTGTGTGTGTGTGTGTGTGTGTGTGTGTGTGTGTGTGTTTGCATTTTACTTTTATTTTAGATTCAGAAGATAGATGCACAGGTTTGTTATATGGGTAAATTGCACGTCACTGGGGTTTGGTTTATGCACGATCCTGCCACCAGGGTAGTGAGCATCATATTGATAAGTAGTTTTTTAACCCTCACCCTCCTCCCACCCTCCCATTCTAGTAGTCCTCAGTCTCTATTGCTCTCATCTTTGTGTGCATGTGTACTCAATGTTTAACTCTTACATAAGATGTGAGAGAACCTGTGAAATTTTTTTTTGTTGTTGTTGTTCTCATGTGAATTCCCCTAGAATGATGGCCTCTAGCTCTATCTTGCTTCAAAGGATGTGATTTCATTCTTTTCTATGACTGCATAACATTCCATGATGTATATGTATTATATTTTGTTTATCAAGTCCACTATTGTTGGACATCTAGGTTGATTTCATGTCTTTGCTATTGAGAATAGAGCTGCAGTGAACATACAAGTGCATGTGTCTTTCTGGTAGAATGATTTATTTTCCTTTGAATATGTAACTAGTAAAGGAATTGCTGGGTTGAATGGTAGTTTTGTTTTAAATTCTTTGAGAAATCTCCAAAATGATTTCCACAGTGGCTGATGGGTACCTGATATAAATAGACACTTCCCCAAAGAAGACACACATGTGGTCAATGAATATAGGAAAAAAGCCTTAACATCATTGATCATTAGAGAAATGTAAATCAAAACTAGAGTGAGATATCATCTCATACCAGTCAGAATGGCTATTATTAAAAGGTCGAAACATAACAGATGTTGGCAAGTTTGTGGGGGAAAGAGAATGCTTATACCCAGCTGGTAGGAATGTAAGTTAGTCATTCTGTTCTTAACAAAATAATTTTAAAACATTCTCAGTCATTATCTCATCACTTCTTTTAGACCATTTTCTCTCTTCTCTCCTGGGATTCCAATTGTAATGTTTATTTTTCTAAAACATTTGAAGTTCTGTATTTTTTTCAAATCTCTTTTCCTCTTTATATCAAAATTTAATTTCTATTAATCTGATCTGTTTCAAATCCATCCTTTTTTTTCTTCTGTTATGTTTAGCCTTCTCTTTAGCTTATCAAATAAATATAAATTTTATGTAATTTTGTTTCAATTTCTAAATTTTCTATCTAGTTGATTATGTCTTTCTGTTGAAATTTCTCATATATTCATAAATGTTATTCATGTCTCTGAAAAGACCCTTTAACAAGGTTTTATTAGTTATTTTAGATTTCTCATTTGACTATGCAAACATATGAGCCATTTTAAGTTTGATTTTCTCTTTTCTCTAAAATATGAGTCTTATGCTCCTATGGTCTTACTTGCATGCAAAATACTCTCTGAGAAATAACCAGAGAGTGGAGTAAATAATATTGACACTAAGTAAAGAGCAACACATTTATTCTTTTAGGCTACTTGTATGAAAATTTGAGTTAATAAAATTTTAAGTTGAGCACAGTATGGGCTATGCTGTGACTTTAATTAGGTTCACTTCAGTACATGCTTTAAGTTTTAAGTGTAACATCAGGACTGTTCAGAAGAGTTTGAGATATGAGCACAGGTAAAGAGCTTAAGATTCGTGGAGACCTACCAAACAGCTGCTAGCTTTTGGAATAAGATATTTATATCTGCGTTGTAGTCTGGATACCACCTTTGTGTGTTGCTACAGATTTCTCATTTTTTTTTCACTCTCGTCCTCCAATTTTTGCAATAAGAAAATCTCTCTCTGCTATACTTCCCTGGCCCCAAATTTAGAAAGCAGAAACAATACAAATAGTGAAGACCCAGAGAACCTAGAATATTTCTCTCAGCTCTCCTGTCCTGCGTCTATCCATTGAAAACTGTTACCATGCTACCAGAGAAGACCTTGGATGCTTCAGAAGGAATAT
Organism: Homo sapiens; assembly: GCF_000001405.40. Lineage (NCBI taxonomy): Eukaryota > Metazoa > Chordata > Mammalia > Primates > Hominidae > Homo > Homo sapiens. The sequence continues at coordinate 30,719,824 of NC_000009.12, forward strand.
CTTTGTGCAATTATTTCCTTCCCTACCCTTAAACCTGTATCCCCATGCACTTGTAAAGTTTCAGTAGAATGCTTTGGAGAGTGGCTCAAACTTCTTCAATGTCTGAGATATGTCAATAATTTCATACACATGCCACAGTCAACTATTAAAAGTTGGTCGGTTTCTTCTTAATTGCATCAATTGGGAATTTATTTTTTACCTGACACTGATCCAGAGATGAAAGCAGCCATGGGTATCTTCTTTCTTCGTAATGTCTTGTCACTCTTCTGAAATTCAGTTTAATCAGTATTCATTGCAAATCACAACCTGGAGAGTTTTGAAAACTATCATTTGTTAATCTTATCTGGCTGGCTTTGGTTATTAAGAAAGAGTAATGCCTATTGTGATTTTTCAATTCCTAACGAGAAGAGAAGCTCACTATTATTATATTTGATGGCATTTTTATTTATGTATGTGCTGTTAATAATACAAGAGAAAAATCACAAGTTTCCACTATCATAGATGCTTTTATTTGTGTATTACTAATACTTGTAGAAGATGATTTTTTCCATCTTAACTGAAAAAGCTACTTGATATTGTCTTAATAATTAGACTTATAAAATTTTAAATTTAATCAATGCCCTTATTATGCTAAGAAGGGTAAATATGATCATTCTCTGCTACTTCGGGAAAGATTGAGATTGAAATTTTACTTGAAGCAATATATATTCTTTATATATATATATATAACTTCGACAAATTTGAATAAAATGCTTTTATTTCAAACATCCACAGTGAAATTCTATATAATAGTGACCCTCACCCTAAAGAGCTGTCCTTGAACATGTGTCTTCAGGAACTAGTGCAACTAGAAAGTGTTAAGAAAGGCTGTAGGTTATTCTGGAGAGACAAATCAGATTAAATTAGAATTCAGAATTAAATCTCTCTTTTTTATATATTATGTGAATGATACCGTGATAACTTATGTACCTAATTAATTATTTAATCAAGTGAATCATTTATCAAACATTTATTGATATGTGACCTGTGGTAATAATAGCCGAGGGTACAAGGTATCACTTTCTTTCTTAACAAAACTTATTTTTTATTGCCATTCAGATCTGCTGTTGATGAATTCTCTCAACTTTTGTGTGTTTGCAAAAGTCTTTATTTTACTGTTATTTATGAAAGATAATTTTTCTAGATATAAATCCCAGGTTGTCAAGTGGCTTTTTGTTTTGTTTTTAGTATTTTTAAAGGTGCTGTTTAATTATCTTTTCACTTTCAAGATTTCATGGTCTGACAGGAAATCTTCTGTAATGTTTGTCTCCAATTCTCCATCTAAAAAAAGTGTCTTTTACTGTTACTATATCTAAGAATTTTTTGTCACTAGTTTTAGGGACTATCATAATGATGTGTCTTTGTGTTATACTTGAGGTTTGTTGAGAAACTTATATCTGTGGATTTAGTTTTTAAATTAAATGTGAGAGAAATTAAATCATTTTAATTTATATATTTATCTTCCTACCCACCAAGCTATTTCTCACCTTTTATTTGGGGATTCTAGTCACATGTATAATGGGCCCTTTGAAGATTACTGGTGTTATTCTTTTTTTTTTTTTTTTTGAGTCTTTTTTTTTCTCTCAGTATTTCATTTTGGATAATTCCTGTCGCTGTTTATTCAAGTTTAATATTTTATTTCTTCTGCTAAGTCTAATCTGCTATTAATCAGTTGCGGAGTAGATGAAAGGTCTTTCTGGTGAATTGTTACTGAACTAAGACTTGAATGACAAAAGGTTAGTTATGAGAATATCTTGGAGAACAACTCAGGCAGAGCAATTGACCAGAGTAAATAACTTCCATAAAAATATGTTTGAGAGGGTGGAGCAAGATGGCAAAATAGAAGATCGCACTGATCAGTCCCCCATTCAGGAACAACAAATTTAACAGTTATCTACACACAAAATAATACACCTTCATAAAAATAATTAAAAAAAATAGATGAGCACTCACAGTGCTTGGTTTTATTTTATTTTTTATTTTTATTTTTATTTTTTGAGATGGAGTTTCACTGTTGTTGCCCAGGCTGGAGTGCAATGGTGTGATCTCGGCTTGTTGCAACCTCAGCCTCCCTGGTTCAAGCGATTCTCCTGCCTCAGCTTCCTGAGTAGCTTGGATTACAGGCGCCTGCCACCACATCCAGCTAATTTTTTTGTATTTTTAGTAGAGACGGGTTTTCACCATGTTGGCCAGGCTGGTCATGAACTCCTGACCTCAGGTGATCCGCCCACCTCGGCCTCCCAAAATGCTAGGATTACAGGCGTGAGCCACTGCGCCTGGCCAGTACTTGGTTTTAACTCCATGTTACTGAAAGGCAATGAAAAGGGTAATAAAAACAGTCTTGAATTGCTAATGCCACTCCTCCCCCATCCCCCTGAAAGGGCTGTGTGGTGTGGAGAATCTGTGCACTGAGGGAGAAAGAGCTCAGTAATTGTGAGACTTAGATTTAACTCCATGCTGCACTATTACAGTGTAAAGCAAAACTAGGCTGTACTTAGCTGACGCTTGCCCACAGAGGAAGCATTTGAACTGACCCTGGACAGATGAGAATTGCCCATCCCAGTGGTCAGAATTTGAGTTCAGCAAGCCTTTCCACTGTGGGCTGCAGTGCTCTGGTGCTTTGAATAAACTGAAACACAGTCTGGGCCACAAGAATTGCAACTCGTAGATGAGTACTAATATTGATCTGGGCTCAGAGTCAGTGGACTAGGGGAACATGCAGCCTACTGAGACACCAGCAGGAACACATAAGGGAGTGCTTGGGCCACGCTTTCCCCAACACTTGGCTGCAGAACTTGTGGCTCCAAAAGAGATCCGATCCTTCTGCCTGAAGAGAAGAAAAGAAAAAAACAAATAAGATCGTGTCTTGCATCTTGGATAGCAGCTTAGCCCCAGTAAATAGGGTACTGGGCAGAGTTGTAAGGTCCCCAATCTAGGCCCTAGCTCCTGGATAACCTTTCTAGACACATACTGGACTGGACCAGAAAGGAAACTGTTGCCTTGAAGTGAAGGACCCGCTCCTGGCAGGACATATCACCTGCTGACTTAAGAGCCTTTGGACGCCAAATAACCAGCAGCAATACCCAGGTAGTAGGTCATGGGCCTTAGGTGAGACTCTGAAACATGCCAACTGCAGGTGAAACAGCATATTTCCAGCTGTGGTGGCTAAGGTGAGAGAATTTATCTCCTTGAGAAAAGCAGGGGGAGAAGTAAAGGGGACTTTGTCTTGCGCCTTAGACACTCTCTTGGCTATAGGATGATAGAATAGCAAACAAGCTATTGAGGTCACTAATTTTGGGACTTGGAAGCTATTGAGGTCACTAATTTTGGGACTTGGCTTTTAGACAGCATTACTGAACATTACCTGGGCCGGAGGGGAGCCTACTATCCTGAAATGTGAGTCCCAGGCCTGGCAACCTTTACCACAAGCTGACCAAAGAGCCCTTGGGCATTAAGTGGACATTGGTGAACACCTGGCAGTACTCCCAATGGGCCTGTGGTGGTCGTGGCCATGAGATGAGGCTCCTCTGCCTGTGGAAGAGGAGAAAAAAGTGGGAAGGATTGTATTAAATGGTTTGAGAGCCAGCTCAGCACCAATTCATAGGACACCAGGTAGATTTCTAAGGATTTGTACTCCAGCCCCTGGCTCATGGACAGTGTCTCTGGATCCACCAGGGGCCTGGCAGAACTCATGACCTGGAAGGGAAGGCCAAAAGCCTATCTGGCTTCACCACTGATGATTGTACTAGCCCCAGGGCCTTGAGAAAACATAGGTGGTAGCCGGGTAGTGGTTACTGTGGGCCTTGTGTGAGACCCAATGCTGTGCTGGCTTCAGATCTGACCCAGCACAGTCCCAGTGGTGGCGGGCATAAAAGTGTTTCTGTGAACCCATCCCCAGCTCCAGGTAGCTCAGCACAGACAGAGAGACTCTGTTTATTTGGAAGAAAGTAAGAGAAGAGAATGAGTCTCTGTCTGATAATCCTGAGAATTCTTCTGGCTCTTATCCAAAACCACCGGTATAGTATCTCTATGAGACTGCACGAACCACAGTGTTACTGTGCTTGGGATGCCCCCTAATCCAGATATGCCTTGGACTGCAACACTCAAGTCCTTTCAAATACCTGAAAAGCCTTCCCAGGAAGGATGGGTACAAATAAGCCCAGACTGTGGACTACAATAATTACCTCGCTCTTAAATGCTGAGGCATGGACAAACATCTGCAAGTATCAACAGCATACAGGAAAATATAACCTCACCAAACAAGCTAAATAAGGCACTAGGGACCAATCCTGGAGAAACAGAGATTTGTGACCAGTAAGACAGAGAATTCAAAATAGCCGTGTTGAGGAGACTCAAAGAATTTCAAGATAACACAGAAAAGGAATTCATAATTCTATGAGGTAAATTTAACAAGGAGATTGAAATAATTAAAAAGAACCAAGCAGAAATTCTGGAGTTAAAAAATAAAATTGGCATACTGAAGAACACATCAGAATTCTTTAATGACAGAGTTGATCAAGCAAAGGGAAAAATTAGTGAGCTTGAAGACTGGCTATTTGAAAATACATAGTCAGAAGAGGCAAAAGAAAAAAAAAGAATAAACAACAATAAAGCACGCCTGCAAGTTCTTGAAAACAATCTTAAAAGGGGCAATTTAAGAGTTATTGACCTTAAAGAGGAGATAGAAAAAGAGGTAGCAGTAGAAGGTTATTTAAAGTGATAATCACATAGAACTTCTCAAACCTAAAGAAAGATATTGATATCAATGTTATAGAACAACAAGCTAATTTAACTTGAAGAGGACTACTTCAAGGCATTCAATCATCAAACTCCCGCAGGAGAAGAAAAAAAAGAAAGGATCCTAAAATCAGCAAGAGAAAAGATAAAAAAAAATTACAATAGAGCTCCAATATGTCTGGCAGTAGGATTTTCAGTAGAAAACATACGGGACAGAAGAGAGTGGCATGACATATTTAAAACCCTGAAGGAAGAAACTCACCAAAAAATAGTATATCTGGCTAAATTATCCTCCAAACATGAGGAAGAAATTAATGCTTTCCCAGAAAACAGAAGCTGAAAATCTTCTCAACACCAGGCCTGTCCTACAAGAAATACTAAAGGGAGTCTGTCAATCAGAAAGATATCTGAAAGTACAAAATTCACTGGCAATGGTAAGTACAAAAAATGTTAATTGCAGCATTGTTCACAATAGCCAATATTTGGAAGCAACCTAATTGTACAACAACAGATGAACAGATAAAGAAAATGTGGTATGTACACAAAATGTAATACTATTCAGCTGTAAAAGAGAATGACATCCTATCATTTGCAACAACGTATATGGAACTGGAAGTCATTATGTTAAGTGAAATGAATCAAGCACAGAAAGACAAACTTCATGTGTTCTCACTTATATATGGGAGCTAAATATTAAAACAATTAAACTCTTGGAGATAGAGACTAGAAGGATGGTTACCAGAGGCTGAGAAGAGTAGTGAGAGGTGAGGGGAAAGTGGGGATGGTTAATGAGTACAAAAGAATACTATAAAGAATAAATAAGAGCTAGTATTTGCTACCACAACGGGATAACAATAGTAATAGTAAAAAAATTAATTTAATTTTATGTACATGTACTAAAAGAGGATAATCAACTTTTTGAAACACAAAGGATAAATGTGTGAGGGGCTGGATAACCCATTTACCATGATTTTTATACCTTGCATGGCTGTATCAAAATATCTCATGTAACCTATAAGTATATATGCCTGCTATGTACTCACAAAAATTAAAAATAAAAAAGTAAAAGTAATATGTTTGACATTATACCTCAAGAATGCAAATAACAACCTCCAAAACTTTCAAGCTAAAACTAAGAATATTTTTAACTTGTAAAATTGTGGAATTAGTAGTTACCCAAATGTCTACTACTTCCTCACTAAAAACTAATGGGTCACACAAATATTTCCTTCTGGTTCCAGGATAATAATGCTTACTTTATTAGCCCGTCGATGCAACTGACAATGAAAGAACCTAATATTAAGACAATGCATAGCCTCCTAGAAGAAAGCAATCTAGGATCTTCTATCTAACTGTTCCAACAACTCATCCTTACGCTAATTTAGGAAATACAACAAAATGCAGAAATTATGGTTGATCCACAGTTTTGTTATATACAGCTGCAAAGAAGACCCATAGTTTTCCAATGAAATAATTATTGATAGCACCAACAAATAATTGTACTTCAGTAACAAAATAGGCATTCAACCAAATGACAGTCATATAAAACAGTAGCTTCCTGAGCCCTCTTTAAGAGAGTTTGGTTCTCATTCCTGTGCCAAGAAGCATAAAATAATTTATCCTGACTCTCAGGAATGTTCTAAAACATATTAGTAATTATACCTTGTACTTACAAGAAGTATGAATTATAGCTACTAATGTATACATACATACAAATTTATGTGTATATATACATGTAACTGTATACATACACACATATGTATTATATGTAATACATACATAATGCATATTATAATACATATGTATAATATATAATACATATATATTACATATATATGATACATATCTATTTTACATATACACTTTTTAATACTAAATTTTAGACTGTTAAAAGATAAAATCTGGGTACATTTTGGAAATGTTATATGTAAACTATTAAGATATAATCTGTCTACTGGTATGCACTCCAAGTCTGCCCTTCACAGGCCTTCCAATTAAATAATGACATTGAGAAAATTTGTAAGTTATGACTGTCACTGCTTCTAAATGACTATTTTCCTCTGCCTGACTGCAGTTCTTGCAAACTTGTAAGGAATATAGGTTTAGGGTAGCCAGCTTTCTTCCAAGCAGGAAGGAGTACATTTCCTACTGGGTTAACAGGCATATGTTTAACTTCTGTTCAGTTTTCTCATGTGCTACTTAATCTTAACAATTTAGGTAACCAGAGATTTGGATTATTCCATTTAAAAAAATAACCATGCATTTCAGACATCTCAATTATGCCCCCAAAAGCATGAATTTTAAAATTTTATCTTCCCAACTGTATTATTCTTTAAACTTCATAAGATTTATGGTGAAAATAATTTATAATGGCACATTATCTTCATTTCCTTTACTGGTCATGTGTCTACTCTGACACTACCTTTGCTGTAAAGTTGGTTATTTGGTCCAAAGTTATATTACATGAGATTTCATATTAGTAGAGAAAATACTATGTAAATCTTTACATGTTAGTGAAGAGTGTGGCCAGGAAATATAAACCTATACTTGCAAAAATGTTTTAATCCTATTTAGGATTTATTTTTGCTCTTTGCAGATGGAATTGGTCCAATATAACCATCTTGCCACCAAGCGCTGGAGTGGCTGTCCTCTTTGAGGAGAAGGTACCTTATATCTAGCTTAGCATTGTTTATATTTCTGACAGGTGAGATAATGAGCATTGACATTTTAAATTCATATCACTATTCAGATCTGGTGGGTCAGATTATTCTCCTGTCCCATTTACTCCTTTTCTGTTAAGACTGAATTAGAAATGGTAATCAATTTAATATTGTCCCATATGTATCTCATATTCTGCTCATGTCAACCTTTTTAAACTAATTTTTCAGTTTATATTTTTTTTATTGACATACCTTATGGTTTTTAAATCATTTCTCCTGATGTGTCCATGTGCTGGTAAGTCCATCTGTTATATTCTTAATTTAGATGTTTCTTTTTTGTTCTAGAATACCAATGTTTTTCTTTTTTCAGTGAGCCTGTCATTTTGTTAAATTATCTATTTTAAAATCAAATTTCTCCATACTTTCTGTTTTTTAACGTGTACATACAGTTCTTCTTGTTATTTCACATCTGGAGCATATGTGGTTTTGTATACCATTTTCTCTCTTAAATATGAAACACTTTTTTCTGTTTCCATATGTGTCTCATATTAGTCAGTAAAAGCAGGGCATTGTGTTTTTAAAAATAAAAAAGAAGACATATAAATATAATTTTCCACAGATGGGCATGCTCTTCCTGTCAACCACTGAGACTGAAAAGCCGATCACTTTGATCCAACCAGAGGTAAAGCAAAATCAGGGCTGGATTACATATTTTGTCAATTTCAATTATTTTTTTAATTTCACATGGTTTATGTGTTGAATCAATCCTGTCAAGCCTATTATGGCTCCTCTTCTATAAGGACTTTTGATACTAAGTAACTTGACTATGCAATCTCTCTCTCTATATCCCATCCAAGCTTCCAGTCATGCAAACACTATTCATCACAGCTCTGAACTTACCAATAACCCATCAAATGAAAATTAGATGACAGAGAGAATTACCTGTATGTTGGAGTTGCCTACAGATTCTAATTTATTATGCCATTCTTCATAGCTCTTATCAGCTCTCCTAAATTTTTCTCACCCTAAAAATGTTTACTTATTGTCATATTTGATCAAGACAACCAGGGAAGAAAGTAACCTGCAATCCGTCCTCACCTAGGGAAAACTTCTCTCTCTTTCTTAGTGTCTTCAATGTTTTTAAGATCTCCATGATATTGAAAATACATTGCTTTTTGATTTCTAAATTGTTATAGCATGTGATAGTGTGAACTTATCTTCTATATTCTACTTGAAAGATATATATCTGGATTGTTTTAAAAGTACTCTACCCAAGAAACCTAGGTCATCTAATTAGAAAGAGCCTGGAGATGTACCTCTATTAGAGTGACTTGTTGCTCTGAATTCTTCAACCCTCATAATATATTCACATCTATTGTCTTGGCCTTATCTAGGGCATGAATGATTCCAATCTCCATCTTTTGACTTTCTGCTAAACTTTGCTGTAGAGTTTGGCCAATGGCATGTGGCAGAAGCAACAGTGTGTCAGTTCTAAATCTTACCTTTCAGAGGCCTCCTCACATATCTCTTCTCACCTTTATGCTCCTTTCTCGTCCCATTTAGCCCACTAGTCCAATAGCAGGGGAACAATATGTATGGCGAAATGCCCTCACCAATCTATAGATATGTACTTATAGGCAGAGCCACCCTACCCACTGGAACTTCAGGAAGAGGTACCCAGTCAAATTAAACCAATATCAGCTGAATTACAACCTACCCACAGACTGTAAGCAATAATAAATAATAAATAATTGTAAATTTAAGCCACTGTGATTATGAGTTGTTTCTTATATATACTGGGTTTTAGAATAGGTGTCAATATTAATATTCTGGATGCAAAATCTATACATGTGTCATAAGGTATGTTAGCACACATATGTACTGCCCAGGTCAAGAGAGGTACAGTCAGAAGACTAGCCAGGAAAATGTCCATGAACACATGAAGGAAAGATATTTTAGACATCTGTCACAACCAAAGGGAGGTATGAACAATCGTATTTGTAAAGGTAATATCTTTCATTTCCCTTACTTCTGCCTCTCCCCAGGTCAGTCTGGGGAAATATAGATGTTGTCTAGGAAAAGAAAGGGCATACTATTAATAATCTATTTTATAGTTTTAATTTTTATACTGAATTGATATATTAATTATAATTTTGACATGAACAAAGATGACATATTATCTAAGCTTGAACTCACAATTATGGAATCTGCCCCCCCGACAAATTATGGAACTCAGTGGCTAAAAATAAATAGCCCCTACAGAGGGAGTTTGAACAGGCAGTGTGAGAAAGAAAAATCATTACTGATTGGATTCAAAGGGTGCCTCTGCAAACTCATCAATCATGTTACCATACTTCAATTTCATTCAAACTATAATTCATAAATAACTAAAATGTTTAATCAATAGTTTGTGAATAATAAAATATCTTCATATGTTTAAAAATAACAAGGGATTCTACTTTTCTTATAGAATCAATTAACTGTGAAAACAAAGCAAATGAATAGTCAAACATGTAGGAAGTGATAGCTTTCTTTTTAAAAATTATAGAATGTTGTGAACACTTTCATTTTATTTCCTTCTGTAAATTTCATTGATATGATCAACAAAAATATAAGATAGAAGCTATAGCAATGATTAAAAAAAATCTTGGGTGTCATATGATTAATTTATATACCAACTTGGTAAGCCACAATATTAAAATATTTGGTCAAATACCAGTAGAGATGTCACTAGAAGGGGTGTGTGAATGTGTGTGTGTGTTTAGATGCAATTAAAATTTAAATCAGCAAACTTTGAGAATAGCAGATTATCGTATGTAATGTGGGTGGACTAAATCCAATTAGTTGAATGCCTTAAGAAACAAAAACAAAGTAAAACTGAGGTCTTATGTGTAAGAAGGAATTCTGTCTCCATACTTCCATCAGACCAAACCTGCAACATCAGCTGTTCCTTAGGTCCCCAGCTTCCTGGTCCACTTGGCAGAATTCTGACTTGTCAGACATGATAATCTGATTTCCACTCCAAACCCCAAGAAAATCTTTAGCCTTTGTCAGCACAGGAAAAGGAAAAGGAGGGCAAGAACACCCAGTGCACCTGACTGCTACATGGGAATGATGTTCAATCTCATCAACAAACACATATTAAAGTTTTATCTCATTGGGAACAAAAATGAGCATTATTATTGATTATTAAAAATCATTATTAATGATTATTAATCATTGCCAAGGCTGTTCTTATATGAGTGCTATTATATATTATTGATATATTTGTATCTTAACTTATACAAATGAATATTGGAAAAAATTAAATATATTTAAAATTAATATTAAATCTTGAAGTCACATTCAAGATAATACGATCATGCTTTCAGTAAAACATATCTTTTTATGGAAAAATTAAGATTTAGTAGAAACATAGTGAAATTTACATAGGCTTGAAGCTAGGATTGTTTATTTTACTGAAAGTAGATTATGACTATAAACAGGATATTATTTTATAGAATACATTTCAGAGAAAACTTGTATACATTACAGCTTGACTTAATATCCTGCATGGTCTTAGGACTCTATCAAGTTACCTTGAGTTTCTTTGTTGCTCTAGAAACTGGATCAGTATTTTCTCCTCGAAGGAACACTGCTATCCTTTAGCAGTAGTGAATCCAGAATGAATGATGAGAATAAAATAGTGAGTCAATATAGAAAACACTTAATATAAGTTCTTGATGTTTCAAGGAGGCAAAAATCCCACATGCCTTATATTATTGCACTAAGGAGCTGGATTTTTTTGAGAAAATAATTTGAACACTTCAGTTTTGTGGAATTAATTATATCAAATTAAAGAGACACAGACCTTTTCTCTGTATGTTTATTCACTGCCAGGGAAAAAGTGAAATAGAGGCATTATTGAAATGACAAAAACAAGAACCTCATTTGATCAATTCCCAACACACACACATCCTTTCTTCACTGAGAAGAAAAGGTGTGTCTGCTTACATCTAACGTAAAATATTGCTATTCTGTATCTAAACCTAAAACTTGTCAATAAGGCAATGTTATTATGGCACTTTCAATATATAAGCATACATGAAGGTCATAAATTGAACAGAATAATTATCAATAGTCCAATTAGTGATTTAATAGTTTTTTTTGTTTTATTGAACTTGAGAATTTAATTCAGTTTATTATATGGTGGAGAGTACATAGACCAAATCTGAAAACACACTGGGAATTATCAATTTTGGTTTTTACTCAACTTTTTGAAGATGGGAAAAAGTTTAGTTCCAGACAAGTTGTTTTGGTGAAGAGTGTGGAGTGAGAGGAGAATTAGTCACTCTGCTACATTTAAATTTATTTGCCCAAAGTGGGAGAGGACAGCAGTTTCAAAAGGTGTTTAAGGTAACAAATTAATAATAAAATGAGATTTAAAAGATGATGAACATCATGGAAACATGAACGTGAGGCACATGAGGAAGTCGATCAAAAGACAGTACATTTGCACTCCATCCCCCACCACTCAGTGTTTCAATTCATGCTGCTAGCCAGGTCCTCCTTCTAGGTTATCTGTTTCATGTCTCTCTGATATTAAAGCTTAAGTGTCTGCTCACACATCTCTGTTTCTTCTGTGCCCATTTAATGAGTAATAACTCTATTTTTAATTTCAGCAATTTAATCTTTAAACATTAAAAGTTAAAAAGAAAGATGCAAAACATGATGATCAGGGAAATTCATATTAATTAAAAAGTGTAGGGGTGGAAAAGGGACTCTGAATCTGGAAAATGAGTTGGCAGAAATACTTAGCCAGAAAAGTAGGGACACCATTACTCCATTCCTGCCAAGTCCTAGTTCATATATAATTCACGCATATGGTTAGGTGTTGAAATGGGAGAGTTCCTTGATTCCTCTCATAAGATGTGCAACAGGTGTGACCTACTTGGTTCCCTAGTGGCTCAAACTCCTAGCCAGGAGCCGGCAGACAGGCAGGTGCAGAGGCTGCCATGAGCGCTTTGGGGCTCTGGCCCCACAGCAGCATCTAGGGGTGGGTGTGTGCTACTCCGGAAGCTCAAGTAGGTGTGTGTTACCAAACTGTCAGATTTGCTGTCTGCAGACAGCGTGTGTGTTAATCAGCTCAGTAGACCCTCTGCCTTATTGCAAAGGCAGGGGGCCAGTATGACAGCCTTCTGTAAACCTAGACCTTGCCCAGTGTACCGGAAGAGTTAGATCACACGTGAGCTGGAAGGATGAGTGCAAGTTTTTATTGTAATGGAGGTGACTCTCAGTGAAATGAATGGGGAGCTGGGAGTGGGGAATGGAGTGGGAAGGTGGTAATCTGCTGGAGTCCGGCGGCCCAGCGGCTGGACTTTTCCCCTACCTAGCCTGGCTGAACTCATCTCATCCAGATGTCCCTTCTCTTCTCTGTTTCTCTGCAGCATTGTTCCACTGTCACTGGTCAGCTGGTCCCAATGTTCAGCTGCTTGTGTGTGTGCCCGCTAAGCTCTCAGTTTTTATTTTATTTTATGATTTTATTTTTTTAATTAATTAATTAATTATTTTCAGGTGGATTCTCGCTTTGTCACCAGGCTGGAGTGCAGTGGCGCGATCTCGGCTCACTGCAACCTCCGCCTCCTGGGTTCAAGTGATTCTCCTGCCTCAGGCTCCCGAGTAGCTGGGATTACAGGCATGCGCCACCACGCTCAGCTAATTTTTGTATTTTTAGTAGAGATGGGGTTTCACCATGTTGGTCAGGATTATCTTGATCTCTTGACCTCGTGATCTGCCCGCCCCGGCCTCCCAAAGTGCTGGGATTACAGGCGTGAGCCACCGCACCCGGCCAGGTCTCAGGTTTATATGGGGGCAGGATAGGTGATGTGGTGGGGCAAAAGGCAACTTTTTGGGCTTGAAAACAGAAATACCCGTCCTCATTTAGGGTCACAGGTCTTCAGGCTTGAGGGAGGAGCCTTTGCCGGGGAACCGCCCTCTTCTGCCCAGTATTTCCCTGTCTCCTGTCCCTATCAGTGTCATACGAAATGTTTATCCCTGCTTTGGGTGGACATTTTGTGCCTTGACTACAGTCATTCTTTCTTTGGTAATTCCAATTTTTCTTTATGGCACTACCAAGCCTCCACTCCTTTCTTCTAATTTCCTACATTCATTGATACAGGCATAGCGTTCTGTATTAATGCTGACCTCTATTGACCACATGTAGCTAAAATTATAATCTAATATCATTTGTGACTCAAGTGTTTTGAGTGGAATTGACTCTATCCCGCAGCTACAGAAGTGGATACCAATACCCTTCTTGGCTATCACAGACATTCAGAGATTTATAAGCCCTTGCTCGCTTTTATTGGTTGAGGGATAATTACTTGACCCAAGATAAATGAAAAGGACTTCATAAAAGAATTTGGCTGGAATCATTGTGACAGAAAATCTTTATTTCCTTTGGAACTGGTAACTATAAAAGTAATATATATTTGGAGTTGCTGAGGGCTATTGGGTAAAAAAACTTACATGACAATGAATCCATTCAGAGGAATTATGAAGCAGGAGATGTGTGAGAGATTCAACTGATGGTGTTATTTGGGCCTCTGGTTTAACCCAGATGAAAATGCCAAACTGAACATGAAACTTTATGTTTCATAAGGCTATAATATCACATTTTTCCTTAAACCAGTTTGAGTTGATTTTCCATCATAAGGAAGCCAAGGAATCATAAATATTGTATGAAATAATTACAGATGATATTAAATTATCAACATTATCTCATGATAGAAATGTATTTGGGTAGTCATTGTATTTAAATCTTCCTTTTTCAGTGTTTAACATGATTGAAATAATGTTAAGTGAGGCTCCATTGCAGTAAAATTAATTATTCCAATCTACTTGGTAACCAATAAAAATTTAAAATATTTTAGAAAGCACTAGTAAGTAAAATAAGTATTATTTAGTTAAAAATATGTCTACATTGCATAGCACTCACATGAATTTTTTTTGAATAGAAGAAAACCAAGATATAATATCAGTTATTTGATTAAGGGTCAATTATTTGATCAATTTTTTTGAAAAAAATTAAATACTCCAGTTTTATGTATCGGTATCTATCAAAAATAAAAGTTTATAATTATTACTTTGTGTTCAAGTAACATGGAAAGTTCAATTTATTACTGATATGCTTATATAAATGTAATATCATATGTTTTGAAAATCCAAATAAGAAAATCACGGGAAAAGGAAAATTTAAATACAGTCTATCCAAATACATTTATTCTGTTTTATTTGTAAACTTATAAGTAAATATTTAATAGTGAAAAATAGGTTCTAGGGATTTAAGAGAATAACCATTCTAATTAAGAACGATGTACTTTAATGCTATGGTATACTTAACAACTGACCTCATAAACTCTAACTTTAAAAACTTGTATAAACATGTTACAGACCAGTTTTATTATGTTCTCAACATGTACTTTGAAGCTAATAAAACTGTAATTTAGAAAATAATTTTACTTGTAGTTTAAACTCTGAATAAAGTGCTATATTTACTTTGTTACTGTCTGCCAATCTGCAAGACGATCATGGCAAAATTTAACTCTAAGATATAGATGCTTTTTAATATCTAAACATTATTTTGTTAACTCTTAAAAATACCTAATGTAATTTTCTCTTGACAAATAACTATACTCCTTATATTCTGATTAAAATTTTGTAATTCAGGCCTCGCTTATGTTACCTTATACCATAATGAGTTGAATCATTTTCCAATTAACATTTTAAAAAATTATTTAGTTAACATAAACTGATTTGGAGCCATTAAGATTGAGTGGCTCCTAATTATTATTTTATGAATTGTATGAAATAGCTATTTTGTTATTTTAATACAGCTTGGCAGAATTCGATGCCTTCTTCTTTATTTCTGTGAGTTTCTTAATGCAGGGTTCTTGTGTTTTCCTTTGTGTCTCTCCATCCTCAAGCAGAGTGCCTGACATATACAAGAGTTCAATACATATATTAAATGAATAAATGAATACTTAGTATATCATACTTTTATGAGTTTTTATTATACATTATTTCTGTGTGTTTGTTAGAAATTATTAAGGGCCTTATAACAAAAATGTCATCAGCCAGACAAGTTACTCTCTGATGAATGACTAACAGATCAATATTCCTTTGTGTGTGTGGTGTTATTTACATTATTATATTGAAAGCTGCTTTCCATTTATATGAAAGTACAAATATCTGGGGGGGTGGAACACTCAAAAATCATAACAGTGATAAAAGGTATCTCATTTCACTGAGAAGGAGAAGGATTAGAATTGAAATTAACCCAGGGCTACATGCTAACATAAGTAGAACGAATCAAAGCTATAGAAAAGTCCGAAGTTTATCTTTCTGAGAAGAACAAAATAACTAAGAAAAAATACGTTTACATATAGATAGATGAAGAACCTTATGTATATTTATTCAATGCCAAATTACTAAGTGTAAAGCTAAAACATAGCATTATTGAAATTCTTTCTCTCTCTCTTAAGTTATTGGAATTAAAAGGACACTAGACTAGATTGGTATTTAAAATAACCAGCTACAATTGTGTTTCTGCACATTACAAGATATGTAAACTTGGGAAATACTAAAACTCAGAAAGGCTCATTCACTCTTTTGTAAATTAAGAAGCAGCACAAACAGCAAAAATGGCACAAATATTATCTGACTTGCCTAAGTTAAATACGGGGGTGTAAAGGACTAATTTCCATAACTGGATAGTCAGATATTCTATGGAATATATTTTTTACCTGATTTAATTTAGTAGGAATGAATAACTTGTAAGATACCAATCACTGTTTTCATTTTACTAATGAGTTTATATTCAATAACACACTTCACTTACTACAAATTCATTACAAATAATTATTAATATTATACATACAGACTCACCACACATTCTTTGTTGAGTAAGATAGGAGAATAGAAATTACATCTAAAATGTTCATGTCAACAGTTGTAACTTTGGTCCTAGCAGATTTGTTCATTAAGCATATCATATGCTTAAATATGGCTATATTTACGAGTCTTCCAAGAGAGATGGTTGAGCTCTGTGAAGAAGTTACCATACCACAAGATATAAAGAATTTATAATTGATATAATGTTTGATATGAAAGTTAGATTTTTTTGTTTAATTTCATTTTGCTTATCCTGGCTGCCAAAAGTAACAAGATTTTTCTTTATTATGCATAAGTAAACTAATGATTCTATTGAGCAATGAATCAATGAAGATATTGAATAAATAGATCAATGGATCTCATCCTTCATTGTATATGTACAAAATATCATACTTCAGGTTTTCACAAATAAGGAAAAAATGCTTTTCAAGAGTATCATCCTAAAGATCATGCCCCTAAATAAGACACCATTAAAGTCATGAAAAATTACTTTTCGCATTCTGTGTATATACCAGAACTGCAAATTAATAACATTTTAGTGTTTCATGAGTCATTATTTTTCTTCATACTTCCTCTTGCTGTTTACTCTCAATATAGCAATTGCAATCATCTACTCTAATGAAATTTAAACTGCTAGAATATTACAATCTGTGTGTATGTGTATATGTAAACATATGTGTTTGTTTTATTATCGATACTTGATTTTATGCATATTTATGGGGTACATGTGATACTTTGTTACAAGCATAGAATGTGTAATGAATCAATCAGTCAGGGTATTTAAGATATCCATCATCTTAACATGTATCATTTTATGTGTTAGGAAGATTTGAATATCTTTATTCTAGCTATATACAAATATACAATATATTACTGTTAACTATACTCATCCTAACCTCTTATCAAATATTAACACTTAATTCTTTCTAGCTAGCTGTATGTTTGCATGTATTAACCAGTCTTTCTTCACCCTTCCCCCAACTCACCCCAACTCACTAGAGCCTTCCTAGTCTCTAGTAACTATCATCCTACTTTTTACTTTCATGAGGTTAGATTTTTTAACTCCTGCATGTTACTGAGAAATTGTGGTATTTGTCTTTATGGATTTGGTTTACTTCATTTAACATAAGGACCTCCAGCTCCATCTATATTGCTGCAAGTGACAGGATTTGATTTTTTTGTGGCTAAGTAGTATTCAATTGTGTAAATATCCCACATTTTCATTATCCACTCATCCAGTGTACGACACTTATTCTGGTTCTATATCCTTGCTATTGTGAATAGTCCTGCAATAAACATGTAGGTGCAGGTATCTCTTTGACATACTTATTTTTTCTTTTGAATAAAGAGCCAGTAGTGGGATTGCTGGAACATATGGCAGTTCTATTTTTAGTTTTTTGAAAAACCATCTATACTATTTTTCATAATGGCTCTACCGATTTACATTCCCACCAGGAGTGTAAAAAAGTTCCCTCTTCACAGACTTGCCAGCATCTGTTAATTTTTTTTTTTGTCTTTTTAAATAATAGTCATTCTAACTGGAGTAAGATGATAGCTCATGGAGTGGAGCATTTATTTATATTTCGGCTGGCCATTTTTATATCTTCTTTTGATAAATGGCTTTTAGACCCTTTTCCCAATTTTTGTTATTATTTCTTTTCATGCTATTTCATCAAATTCCTTGTATATTCTGGATATTAGACAGATGTGAAATTAATAGCTAACAAATTTTTTCTCCTGTTTACCAGGTTCTCTCTTCACTCTGCTAATTGTTCCTTTTACTGTGTAGATTCTTTTAGTTAAATATAATTCATTTTTGAAAATTTTTTCTTTTGTTGCTTATGTTTTTGAAGTCTTAGCTATACAATCTTTGCCTAGAAGAATGCCCTGGAGTGCTTTCCTGTATTCTTTTCTAGTTGTTTTATAGTTTGGGGTCTTAAATTTAAGTATTTAATCCACTTTGAGTTGATTTTTAATATATATATATATACAATGAGAGACAAGGGTCTATTATCATACTTTTGCATGTGAATATCCAGTTTTTTCATTATTATTATTGAATAGGGAGTCCGTTCTTCAATGTATATTCTTGGTGCCAAGTCAAAAATCAGTTGACTATAAAAATGTGGATTTATTTCTGGGTTCTCTATTCTGTTCCATTGGTTTATGTATCTATTTTTATGCCAATACCATCCTATTTTGATTAGTATAGCTTTGTCAAATATTTTGAAGTCAGATAATATGATGCCTTCAGCTTTTTTTTTTATTGCATTGACTATTCAGGTTATTTTTTGGTTCCATACAAATTTTCGAATTGTTTTTCCTATTTCTGTGAAAAAATGTCATTAGTATTTTGATAAGGGATTGCATTGAATCTGTATATTGCTTTGAAATGATATTAATTCTTCCAGTCCATGAACTTGTGCTGTCTTTCCATTTGTTTGTGCCCTTGTTAACTTCTTTCATCAGTAGTAGCTGTCTTTGTAAAGTTCTTCCATCTCTTTGGTCATATTTACTCCATGGGTTTTTTTTTTTTTTTTTTTGCAGATATGTAAATATTCTTGATTTATTTTTTAGCTAGTTCATTATTGTTGTATAGGAACGATGCAGGTGAACCCCAAAATTGGGACCCGACTCTGGAGAGATTTTGGCTTCACTCAGGAAAGAGTTCAAGAGCAAGCTGGCAGTGAAAGAAAGCAATTTTTTTTTTTTTGAGTAAAATTGTACAGCAATATGGCTGCTCCTTAGACACAACAGGGCTATCCCATAGGGAGAGTAGTTCCTGTGGTGCTGAGCTATCCCAGAGGAAGCCCTTGTGGATTGCCAACTAGCTATATTTATACCTAATCCTAATGATATGCTAAAAAAAAAGGTGGGGGAGGCAAATTATTTACAAACTTTCTGGAAACGGGGAAGGGAGTTCCTGGAACCAAATAAAGTAAATTCCAGATTGCTGCCATGGCATTTCTAAACTGTCATGACACTGGTTGGAGTGTCTCATGTAAATGCATTAATTCCTAGCCCTAACTGGTTTTGGCTGGTTTCTTTGCTACATCTTGTTTAGATCAGCAGCGTGGTGGAAACAAGTCTTGCTGACCTCCTATCTCAGAAACACTATTGATCTTTTTATGATGATTTTGTATCCTGCAACTGCTAAATTGTTTATGAGATCTAAGAGGTTTATGTGGAGTCTTTAGGTTTTTCTAAATATAACATCATGTCATCTGCAAAGAGGAACAATTTGGCTTCTTCTTTTCCAATCTGTAGGCCTTTTAATTTTTCTCTTGCCTGATTGTCCTAACTAGGGCTTCCACTACTACACTGAGCAGGAATTTGAAAGTGGAAATCTTTATCTTGTTCTAGATGTTAGATTAAAGGCTTTTAGCTTTTCCCTGCTCAATATGTTATTAGCTGTGGGTTTGTCATATATGATCTTTATTATATCTAGGTATGTTCCTTCTGTGTCTAGCTTATTGTGAGTTTTTATCATGAAGGGATGTTGAATTTTTCAAATGCTTTTCAGATATCTGTTGAGATGATCACATTGTTTTTGTCCTTTGTTCTGTTGCTACAATGTGTCATGTTTATTCAATTGCTTATGTTGAACTATCCTTGCATCCCTGGAAGAAATTCCACTTAATTATGGGGGAGTATCTTTTGGATATATTGTTGGATTCTATTAGCTAGAATTATGTTGAGAATTTTTGTATCTATGCTTATAGAATTATTGACTTATAGTTTATTGTTGTTGCTGTTGTTGCATCTTTTCTGGGTTTGGTGTCAACATAATGCTGGCCTTATAGAATGAGTTAGGGAGAATTTCCTCCTCTTCAATATTTTAATAATTTGAGGAGATTGATGTTAGTTTTATGTATGTGTGTATATATATAGATAAATATAAATATATACATAAATATATATTATATCACAAGTAAATATATATGTTTATATAGTAAGTCAATATATAAATATATATACTTATATATAAATATAAAACTTATCTATATAAATATATATGTATATAAAATATGATTTGGCTGTGTCGCCACCCAAATTTCATCTTGAATTGTAGCTCTTATAATTCCCACATGTTGTGGGAGGGAACCAGTGGGAGATAATTGAATCATGGCGGTGGTTTCCTCCATACTGTTCTAATGGTAGTGAATAAGTCTCAGGAGATCTGATGATTTTATAAGGGGTTTCCCCTTTCACTTGGCTCTCATTCTCTTCTGTCTGCTGCCATGTAAGATGTGCCTTTTGCCTTCCACCATGATTACGAGGCCTCCCCAGCCACGTGGAACTGTGAGTCCATTAAACCTCTTTTTCTTTATAAATTACCAAGTCTCACATATGTCTTTATCAGCAGTATGAAAACAAATACAATATATAAACATATATATATATATATATATATATGTTTGAGGTATATATATATACCTCACAATATATATTGTTGTATACAAATGTTTTATAGAAATTGTGTAGAAATGATGCAGGTGAACCCCCAAGTTGGGGCTCAGCTCTGGAGAGATTTTGGCTTCACTCAGGAAAGAATTCAAGAATAGCCAACATTGAAAGATTCATGTGTGTGTGTATATATATATATATATATATATATATATATATAAAAAATCAGACTGACAGGAGGAAAAGCAGCAAAGTATCTGAGTTTGGGGCCTTGTGCCCAGTCATGCTTGTTTAGGCCCTTGTCCCTGTCTGCTTCCCTGGGTCATGCATGATCATGTACATATATATATATATGATATATAAACATATATGTGTCTAAATATATATAAATATTTATATATAAAAACATATATATTTCTATAAACATTTACATAAGCTTAAAGATATACGTATAAGTTCGGTAGAATTCAGCAGTGAAGCCATCTGATTTTGGCTTTTGTTTATTGGAAGACTTTTACTATTAATTAAATCTTGTTATTTATTACTAGTCCATGGAAGTTTTCTATTTATCTTGATTCAGTCTCGGTAGTTGTATATTTCCTGAAATTTCTCCATTTCTTCTAGGTTTTTTAGGTTGTTACTGTTCATTATATTCTCTGATGATATTTTGGAGTTTTGTGGAATCAGTTGTAATGTCTCCTTTTTCATTTTTAATTGTGTATATTTGGATTATCTCTCTTTCTTTTTGGTTAGTTAAGCCAGTCATTTATCAATGTTGTTTGTATTTTTAAAAAAGCAACTTTTTGTTTCACTGATCCTTGGTATTGTTCTTTCAGTCTCTCTTTCATTACATTCAGTCACTATTTCCACGTTTTTCTTTTGTCTGTCTACTAATTTTGGGATTAGTTTGTTCTTGTTTTCTAATTGCTTGAGGTTCATTTAGTTGCTTTCTTGAAGCCTTGCTACTTTTTTGTTGTAGGCATTTGTTGCTATAAGTTTCCTTCTCAGAACTGCTTTTGCTATATATTATAGATTTTGGTATGCTGTGTTTCCACTTTAATTTTTTTAAAAATAATTTTTATTTTTTTCTCAATTTCTTCATTGAACAAAATATTATTCAGGGGCATGTTGTTTAATTTCCATATGTATGTACGGTTTCAAAATCTCCTCTGGCTATTGATTTTTAATTTTATTCCATTGCATTCTGAGAATATATTTGATATGGTTTTGATTTTTAAAAATGTGTTGAGATTTGTTTTGTGTTTTTACCTATGGTCTATTTTGGAGAATTTTTCATAGGCTGATGAGAAGAATGTGTATTCTGCAGCTGCTGGATAGAATGTTCTGTTAATGTCTGTTAGGTTCATTTGGTCTAAAGTTCAGTTTACATCTAAGGTTTCTTTTTTTGATTTTCGGTCAAGATGATCTATCTAAAGCTAAGAGTGGGTGTAAAATCCCCAACAATTATTTTATGAGAGTCATCACTACCTTTAGATCTAATCGTATTTGCTTTATATATCTGGGCACTATGGTATTGGGAGCATATATATTTAGAATTGCCATATCCTCTTGCTGAGTTAATCCCTTTATTTAATGACCTTCTTTGTGTCTTTTTACTGTTTTTGACTTAAAATATATTTTATCTGAAATAAGCATAACTACTCCTGCTCACTGTGCCTTCTATTTACATGGGATTTTTTTACCCTTTTTTTAAATGTCTATATGTCTTTACAGTTGAAACTATTTTCTTGTAGGCAGAATTTTGATGATGTTTTATTAATTCATTGAGTCTAACTCTTTTAAGTAGAAAATTTAATTTATTGACATTGAATATAGTTATTGATATATGAAGACTTATTCTTGCCATTTTGTTAATTGTTTTTCTGGTTGTTTTGTATATCTTTTATTCCTTTCTCTCTCATTGTTTATTGTTGTGTTATGGTGGTTTTCTGCAGTGGTAATATTTGAGTCCTTTTTCTTCCTCATTTGTGTGTTTGCTCTACCAATGAGTTTTATATTTTCACTTGTTTTTATCACGGTAGATAGCATTCTTTTGCTTCTAGCTGTAAAACTCCCTTAAACATTTCTTGTAGGGTAGGTCTAGTGGTGATGATAACTTTATTGGGGAAAGTATTTTTAGCTGATAGTTTTCTTAGTTTTTGTTTTTTTGTTTGTTTTTCTCTCAGTACTTTGAATATATCATCCCATTCTCTCCTGGCCTGTAAGGTTTCTACTGAGAATTGTTTTGTTATTCTGATAAGGTTTCCCTTATATGTGGCTTAGACACTTTTGCTGTTTTTAGATTTCTCTCTTTATTTTTGCCATATGACAGGTTGACTATAACGTGCCTTGGAAAAGAATTTTGTGATTTGTGTCTTGGTATATCTGACCTCCAGTATCTGGATATCTAAACCTCTTGTTAGGCAAAATAGTTGACATGTTTCTAGCTATTATTTTGTTAAATAGGTTTTTTAGCCATTTATCTTCTCTTTACCTTCTGGAAAAGACAAAATTCAGATTTTTGGTCACTTTATTATGTCATATATATCACATAAGCTTTTAAAAATTATGATTTGTCTTATTTTGTTTTCTCTTACAGCATTATTTCAAAAGAAACATTTTCAAGTCCTGATATTTTTTCTTCTGCTTGACCTAGTTTATTGTTGAAGATCTTGTTTTTTTGTTTTTGTTTTTGTTTTTTGTTTTCATCCATGGAATTCTGCAAATCCAAGATTTCTACTTGGTTCTTTTTAATGATATCTACCTATTTGACAAGTTTCTTATCCATATCCTGAGTTGTTTACTTACCTTTTTTTTGTATTATTCGTCTGTGTTCTCTTCTATCTCACTGAGCTTACTTAACATCATAAGTTTGAATTTGCTATCAGGCATTTCATAATTTTTTAAATTGAAATCTTTTGCTGGAAAATTATTGTCTTCCTCATGAGGTATTAAATTTTCTTGTTTGTCATGTTTCTTGTGTCTCTATGGTCATAAATGACACATAAATGACACTTTATGGAGATATGGTCATATCTCCCATCGGGTGACAGTCACTTCTTCCACTTTTTTTTAAATAGCTTTCATCGGGGAAGACCTTCTACTGAAGATGTATTTATGGAGTAGTTTGGGTAGGGTACTTTAGCTTTGATTTTGGGTACATGCAGTAGTGTAGCTTTCACATTGTTTTTTTTTTTTTTTAAACTGTAAAGAGTCAGTGGTGTCTGTGATTTACTTAGTGGCTGATGCTGTGTTTGTTAGTGGAAACTGTGGTGAGGGTTTGCTGAGGAGAGGGGCAAATGGGTGATCTTCAGGCCCTTGGTGACATTTTGAGTGGTGGTGACAGTGTCATCAGTGGTGGACAGGAAAGGCCTATCTCAGGGTGCATTCAAGTCCTTTGAAACCCTGGAGTTGGTTGCAGCAGCACCAGGAAGGCAACTCTCAGACTTTGGGAAGCATGAGTTTCGGCCTCCACCATTGGTGGCAGTGGTAGTGGCAGCAATAACAGTCATAGTGGAAGCAGTTGGAGGAACCCGTTTTCAGAGCATGTGAGAGTGTGTAGAATCCGTGCTGCTGGTGTGGAGGTTTGCTACCAATAACAACAGCCCAGGGTAGGCAGCTGTTAGGCTCTGAGGAATGTGTATTTTATGCCCCAGCAGAAGGTCAGAAGAGCCTGTCCTCAGGTTTGGGAAAATGTGTGGTGGTCCTGCTGCTGGGAGGTAGAGTAGCTGTCAGTGGCAGCTTCCCCAAAGAGGTGGCTCTCAAGCTTTGAGAAGAATGTGCTTGAGCCCTGGAAGCAATGGTTGTGGTGGCAGTAAGCACAGAACGTTATAAGTTTTGTAAAAATTTATTAATACTAAAATTGAATGATTCTCAAGCTTTATTGTTAAATGAAAAAGTAAGCTCTAGAAAGATATATTCTGTAATGTTTGTTTCTTTTATATATTCCAATTAGTAGCAACAACAAAAAGAAAGAGCCATGGCTCATTAAGGAATGAAAATTCATGTAGGCCATTTTGGGAAAGAATGTTTTTATGGAGAACAAAAGTGAATTTAATGGTTAAAATGTGCTTTGGGAATATCAGTCATCCATGTGTAGACAATGATGAATGAACGTTGGCTTACTCAATAGCCTTTCACACTTCCTCTCTGTTGCTTTCCCTCATTATTGTTTGGAAGTAAAATAGTTCTATTATAAGCTTCTTATAAAGCTGTAGTTAACTGTGTCTCATAGATGACATAGTTCTGTACATTGAGACATACATTAAATTATGTGGTGAAGGTTTCTTCTCTCAAATGAAACCTTACAAAAAAAAAGCTCCTTTCTTATTTTCTTGCCTGGAATGTTAGTATTATGCCTGCAGATGCAGTAACACCCCTATGACCATAAGGATGAAGAAAATTGGATCCTTGATCTGGGCAATCCCTGGGAGAGCATTCACAACGTACTCTGTGTAAACTGTTCTGTTTCCTTCACGTTCTGCAACAGGTTTGACCCTGAATAAAAGCCAAGTGCTAATGTCCCTAGTGTAGAAAGATTGTAACAGCCAGGGTTTTTATTGTATCTAAGAACTCTATTGGATCAGATTTGAATAGTATCCCTGAAGATCTCTTTTGTTACATTAAAAATATACTTTTTTCCTGGTTTAAGTCATTTGTATTGACATATTTTGTTACCTTTAAATAAACATAGACCTAACTTACCCAACATGCTACTTGTTTGTTTTTTTAAGGTTTACCTAACAGAAAGTTTTAAAGCTGATAAATATCCAGATCATATAGTAATAATTGTAGTAACAATATATAATGGTAGAAGCACCATATAAATTAATTTGTAATCTATAATATTTTAGACAGTTTGATTACCTGACATCATTTACCTAAAATTATATTTGAACTCTATGAGCACAAATAAATTAATATTGCCATCTCACAAAAGACATTATGTTAAAGAATATGTTCATATGACAATTATGTTTTCTCAAATAAGAAAAGGAGAAGAATATAAAATGAGAAGAAGGAACAAAAAATAAAATAGTTTTTTACATTTATTTAAGGTATAAACACTGGTATCTCTTTCCATTTCCCTCATTCACTTAAAAAATGTATTGAAAACAAGCTAGATGGATCAATATTTATGTATAAATTTTATCATTTTTTTTCTCATTGAGCAAAAGTCCTTAAATGAAACTTTAGTTTTGTTACACAACCTTTAATTTCATTTGGGTTACAAAAATCTGTAGCATTCACAGATGCATATAAAATAATTTCCTTTAAAAAATAGAATTAAATGTATTGAATTTATGTAATAAGAATGTGTCCATTATGTAAAATTTAGAAAATAAAGAGTGGAGAACAATAACATATTTTGGTTACCTCATCACACAGAAGACTTTAAAAAATTTGACTTTGTATCCTCCAGATTCATAGATAGATAAGTAGATAAAGAATTGATTGCTTTCTCTGTATCTCTAGTTCTCTCCCATTCCTTACAAAAAATATAAAAGGGATTATACTATTAACTATATTATACTTTGAAATGTTCTTTGTAAAATTACTATATTGTGAACCAATTCATAGTGATTAAAGAATATCAGCATAATGATGGTTTCTGTTTTAATGTATTTATCAAGCTGGAGGATATTTAAATTATTTTCTGTCATTTCTTTTTAAAATAAGACTATGATAAAAAATATTTCTACAAAGTACCATTATGAAATTGCCCTTTAAATTAGTTGTACCACTAGGCTTATGAAAGTAATTGTTTCTCCACATTGGCATTAACACCATGTATTATCTTTTTCTCTTTTTTATTTTACTTAAAATTTTAATTCCTTTTTATAATCTAATTTGAATGCTTTCATAAGCTGCTTGCCTATATCTTTGTGTCATGTTTCAATATAGTTGTCCTAATTAATATTTTAAATTATTTCATAAACTAAATATTATCTATTACAGATGATGTAGTGAATTTATTTCACACTTGTAATCCATCATTTTCATTTGATTCTAATTTTATTATAGTTGTAATTGGTAGTGATGTTATTCTTTTTTTTTGTCTTTGTGAGTTAAATTTACTTTTGTGTTCAGGAAGCTAGAAAGATGACTTTAATTTTCTGTCCAATTCCAAATTTTTCTAATATTCTAAGATGCAATATTTATAAATAATACATTTTTATGTATTACTGAGTCAGCACAATATTTATAAACTTAAAATGAAATTACAGTAAATTTTACTGTTTGATAAGACAAAATTTTTTCTCATTACTCTTCTTTTTTGGAATATTTATAGTTATTCTGAGTTTTTTAATCCATTTAGATAATGTTAGAATCATTCATTATTTTTAGAATTGTGTTTGGATTTTTGCTATACTATCCATCCAGCTGGATTGAATTTACATTTTGTAATGCAACTTCTCATATAGGAACATTTTATGTATTTTCATTTATTCAAGATATCTTTTGAACTTGTATGTCAAGTTTCATTATAGTCATAAGCCTTAAACATTCTCTAATTTTTTGTTATGTATCTTAATTTTTCATTATTATATTGAATGAAATTTGTCATCATATTTTCTAAATGTTTGTGAATTAAACAGCTACCTAAAAATTCTCTCTTATCCTATTACTGCAAAGTTTCCAAATAATTATTTATTATATTAATATTAAAATTTTCACATTATATTTTTAGTTATTTCTATATTTTCTATTTTTTTGATAAATCTTTCAAAACAGCATTAATAGCTTGGATAATGAATCTGAAACATAAGTTTGAATAACATATTTGAAATAAGTTTCTATTTCTAAGGGGCAAGAAATTTCAAGGCAGACAATGTCTCTCCTTAAGGCTGAAACCATTCGATAAGTTATTTTACATATTTCTCAAAATAAAACAGAACACACTAGCATCTGTCCCTTTAAGAGAAAATTAAAAATAAGTTTGATGATCTGAGTAAAGCCCCAACTTACTCCAGGCATTGACTCTAGAGTCAGATGTCCAGAGAACTAAATTCTGTGGTCAGTAAGAGAATATTCCTAACAAGGTTATAGCTATTGAGATTAGTCTTCTTGTAAACAGAATATAAAAGTTCAAACAGAATGATAAATTGTAAAGGAGCTCAGAGGCCTGAGACAGAGGGAGAGGTACTTTGTATGAACCAAAACCTGCACTTTGTAACAAGTTTGTTTTGCTTCCCTTCTTTGATACCATTTTCTGGAAAACTTCAGGTACAAAATCTTCTAAGATGAAGCTATGGAAAAGTTTATTGTTTCCCATTTGGTTATAATTATTTGAATCTAAGAAGAGTTCTGTCCTTGGTTGGGTAGGAAGGTGGTGGGCTACACTTGGGACAGTATAAATCAGAACCTTAGAATTTATAAGACAGTGATTTTCCACATCTGTTAATCAAATCAACTTGCAGCTTTATATGACTTATAGATTCTTCAAATTCTCCATAAATTATCTAATTCCTGGGTTTTTAAAAAATGCGTATTATTTGAAAGTTTCTCAGAGATTGTGTGTATTTAGATTGTTTGAGAAATTAATGTGATGAGAAAAGAAAAACACAAGAAAAAGAGGTAATGCTCTTATCCCATGTCCCATTATTGACAAGGAGATATCTTCAAAAGCAAGATCATAGAGGACCTGGGTCTTGTATCATCTCAGAAGTTTTTACATTTCTTTGTTTGAATCTTTCAGGACTGAACACTTCACCAGCAAACAGATTTATCTGATACATTAGGAGCTGGGTGCCTGCTATTCTTAAGTAAATCTTATGTTCACAGGCACAAATCTCCTCCTAACTATTACTCTAGATCAGTAGCACTTAGAAGTCAAAGACAGAGACTATTCAAGTTACACAGTACAATTCTTAAGTTTTTCTTAGTGGGCTGGATGTTGGCACAGACTTATTCAGGGAAATTTAGAAGTTGGAAAAAGTAGGCTCTTTCAGAAACTATAAATAATGGAAGACTTTGTTTCTGAACATATTTTGTCAAGACAGATTGTAGGAGTCTGAAATCCAGGCTGATTTCCCAGGAAGTTTCCTTGCCTCTCTGGGGAAAAGGGTGGTGGTAGGAGGCATGCTGGGAAGGGAAGGAAGATATTTTGTTTCATTGCCTTGAATTTTGTCTGAATTATTTAATGAGGTATGAGATTCTATACTTGATAGCTGATTACTATGTGGCCTTCATAAGTCAAATTTGTTTACTTTGCTTAAACATACAGGTACTCATATTTTACAATTACACATTTCATTTTTAAATTATTTTCTCTTTCTGTATTAAAAATTACATATTAGTGTTTAGTAAAATGATGGAGAAGATTAACCTACAACTATCTGACTATCATATGAAGAAGTTCAAAATCGTTTCCTAGAGTTGAAAAGACAGGAGGCATAATGCTGTAGTGATAAACAACAGAATCCTTGATTTCAGAATAAATTGGAATCAAATTCTATATATGACAAATATATAGACTCACTGAATGTAATGTTTCTATTGTCATGATCATCATCATCACCATCACCATCATATAATCCACAGCTGTGTAATTAGACTTGAGACATAGCAACCATATAGCCTTTAGAGTAAAATCTATCATTTGTTTTCTAGGATTTAGGAAAAAAATCTGGCAGTTATTGAGGAATCTGTTTCTAGATTAGTGAATTTTGAAAATTTTAGGCATCCATTTGCTTTTTCTTAATCTCACCAGAGAGGGAATTCTACCTGCTAGTCAGCAAGCAAATTTATCTGCAATATGACAATTTGGGGATCTTTTTTGAAACCAGAAGGGCTTTGATTTGCCTTCTATTGAATTTTTTTTCCAAATTAAGGCCTGTTTGATATTTGCCTATGTCTAATAATCATTTTCTTTTTAATCATTTTTTTAATCAACAGAATAAAAATACGTGTATTTATTGTGTACAATAAATCTGTTCATGATGTTTTGAATTTCAGATACATTGTGGAGTGACTAAAACTAGCTTATTAACATATGCATTACCTGACATTGTTATTTTTTTGTGGTGAGAGCACTTTACATGCACTCTCTTAGCATTTTTCAAGAAAGATTATAAATCCAGACAAGAACATTACAACAAATGAAAATTAGTCCAATATTACTGATGAACATAGATGCAAATATTCTCAGAAAATACTAACAAACCAAATTCAACAGTACATTAAAAAAATCATTTGCCATTATCAAGTGGGATTCACTTCAGGAATGTAAGGATAATTTAACATATATTTATAAATCATTAAATAAAATACATGACATTTACAGAGTGGAAGAAAACAACTATTTGATCATTTCAATAAACATTTGCTCATTCTTATTAGACAAAATTCCCGTGCTACACTATCAGTACCTGATTGTTAGGGCCAATACTTAGGATGCTTCTCCAGTTTTAAACCCAGAAAAATTGTGAAGGAATAGTTTAAAGTGGTTGCATGATTTTTTGGGTGAGGTAGGCAGGTTAAAGAATCTATTTTTTCTGTGTAATATAAAGAATAATCTGAAACAAAAGAAAAATCAATTTTTTCTCCATTTCTGCCTTGGCAGCCTGTGGCCATTGGGGAAATTACTATTTGTTTAATCAAAAATTTATTTTTCTACTTTTTCAACACAGAGAAAAACAATTTTATGCCTTTAAGTTAACTTATATCAGTGGGTTGGCATGTAGCCTTCTGCACATTTCCCCTATTCATAGAGCAAGGGCTGGTTATGAGCAGGGCAGAGGGTAAACGGATTGCCTCTTTCTGTCAGCTCCAGGGCCAGATCACAGGTTTAAGTTTTATCCCAAAATGTCTGGGAATAAACAAGACATCCATTTACTTACTAAGGGAAATCTGCTCGTGTA
Organism: Homo sapiens; assembly: GCF_000001405.40. Lineage (NCBI taxonomy): Eukaryota > Metazoa > Chordata > Mammalia > Primates > Hominidae > Homo > Homo sapiens. Next base: position 30,750,461 of record NC_000009.12, read on the forward strand.
TTTTACATAGCAGTACGTTATTATTGTTTCTCATGAAGCTCATGAGTGCACCGTTGCCTGTTAACCTTATCAAAGTTTCACACTATGATGTTAGGTCCTTTTTGTTGTATTGAATACTATTGAATACTTCCTATTTCATGGATATTATTTTATAAGTGGAAAACTGAGGAAAAACAGTCAATCATTAGGGCTAAGAATGATATCTTTGTTCAAATACTGCTTACATGTAGTTAGGTTAGACAGTACTCAGAAATTTCATAAATTCCTGATACAAATATATTGTCTATAATATAATACACATTTAGTACTTTGTGATTATATTCTAATAAAAATAAATGTTAAAAAAATGCACATGTTATGTTCAGTGTGGAAAAGATAATTATTTAGATTACCATTAAGCTGAAAATTATGGAAAATATGACAGTTGTTATATAGATATTATTATTTTTATTTAGTAGTAAGTCTGAAGTCAGTAGGCATAATAATGATGTAGCTTCTGAAGTCATCAAAATAGTACTTCTTCTACCTTTCTGCTGTATCAGCACCACAGCATGTGGTGTCTGTATCCATGGTCATAAATTTTATATATATATATATATATATATATATATATATAGTATGTGTATATATATATATATATAGTATGTGTATATATATATAGTATGTGTATATATATAGTATGTGTATATATATAATATGTATATATATAATATGTATATATATATAATATGTATATGTATATATACATGTGTGTTTATGTATGTATATGTGTGTGTAATATCTATCTATCTATCTATCTATCTGCATGTATATATATCCACCATTATGTGTCTTGACGTTAAATTCATGTTGCAAGAAGCAAGAAGTGGAATAGATGAATTCAACTCATTACTGCCTTCATATATTTAGCCACAGTGGAGTCATATGGCCAACCCAGCTGCAGGCAGCCTGAAAATTTCAGTATTCTGTTTCTAAGTTCTGGTAAAGGAACATAAGTGAAGCAGTAGTTGCAATGGATATTGTGTAAGTCTTCCTGCAAGTGTTTTTCACCAAAAAGCAACCTGAATAAAACCAAAACATATTAATTTTCTTGAAAAAAAATCTTTCCCTCTGAGTGAAGTGCAGCCCTCAAATGATCTCCTCTTTATGGTTTTTGTACTTTATCTATCCAACAAGATGGTTCAAATAAGTACCAGTGTTGTTTTTTATTTGGTTTACAGAAAACAGTGTAAGAGACAACTATTGTTTATTTTCTAATTGTATGCACAATCATCTGTCACAATTATAGGAGCTTATATTTTCTTTTGAAAGTTTAATACAATTTCTTCTTTAAAATAAGAGATAAAAGTTTTACATTGAAAAAAATTATTTGTTTCTCACACATTTATAAATTGTTCATTAAACACTTTAAATGACAGATACTTTTCTAGGTGCTAGGGACGTAACAGTGAGAAAAGACTAACAGTCCTTTCCAGACAAAGTTTATATATTGTTTATAACAACTTCATATATTGTTATCTTTATATAAATTCAAAGAACTGAGATAAATATGTAAATGTTATAAACTTCAAAAATGATTTGTAAATATAAGGTTTTTACAGATAAAAGAAATGTTAGCAAAAGAGTCCCAAAAACGTTTTGATAGAATGATCCAGAAATATAAAATTTCATTTAATATACTTGCTAATGAAAATCACATTGTTGGATGCAGGCTGAAAAAGATATTTCATCAATAAATAAATTTAAAATAATACTTTTGAAACAGACAATACATTTGGTTTAGCGTTCTTTAGCTCCATCTCAGGCAACACACCAGCTTTACTGTATACCCACTTATTCATAGACTATCTGCCTACTTTCACTTACTGATTCCGTGTTTTACACATCATTACTTTATTGATTCATAGTATTTTTTTTAAAAAAGATAATTTACTAGAACCACACTCACAAGCATTGTATTTCTTAGGTTGATTGGTAATTTACAAATTTCTGTGTCTCTGTCCAAGCTAAAAGTATTATAATTGTTTTTGTAGACAAATAGAAATTTTAATTACTGTTAAAGTGATGCTTTTTGAGAGCATTCATCCTTGAAACTTAGACCTTGCTTATAAACTCTTTGCTAATATTTGCTAAGAGGCTAGAAACATTTATTTAAAGTCTTTATATTAGAGGATGATAGAGCAGAAGACCTTGACTAGATGGCTAAGTGGTATGTGAGAATCATTTTGAAAATATTCCATAACCAACTGACTAATGGAAGGTAATAACTTATGCCATTGGCAAGAGCTTTATGCTGATGATATAGATCTAATTGGCTGAGTGTTTAAGTGTGAGTTTTATGTCGAATAGTACAATCTACTGGAACTATCCAAAATGCATTTGGAAAAATTAGAGTTTACAGACACATCTAGTTTATCATAGAGGCTTTTATGTCATTAGCATAGTAGCTAAAGTTATAGATGGGAATGGGTTCACCCAGATAATAAAGTAAAAGAATGAAGTTATAGAAACTCTGGGGACACTAATCCTGTTTTGATAAGAGAATTACACCAATTAAATCATTGGCCTAATGATTTCCACTAAGCAGACAGATTTTCTTCAGTAGCACTACTGCTAGGAACTTGGAGTTAAAAAAAAATATATATATATATATATATATATATATACACATATACGTATATGTGTGTGTATATATATATATACACACACATATACGTATATGTGTATATATATACGTATGTGTATATATATATATGATCACTATGCAGGCCACATTGTAAAACTTCATAGGATTCTACTCACAGTATAGTCTTTTATTTTCTTTAATTTGAGTACTAATATATAATGTGTGTGCTAGACTAGACCTAACAACTTTATATAGTTTTTTGTCATTAAAGTACTAGAGTACAAATAAAGCTGAAGCTGCTTCTGTAATTACATGGGATGCCACTTCAAAAATTCTGCCTCTTCTTTTGTTTTTCAGGAGTATTTATAACAATTAAAGCCTAATGTCAGTATGCCCACATTTCTGAAAGAACTTTCAGTTGAGATAATTTCCCCTTCATTATACTAAAACAAACAAAGACATACTAGATCTAAATGTAACACAAGCAGCACATGCTGTATTTGGCCAACAAATGCTGCTGAATGTTCATGTTAATATTATGACTATTTTTGCTTCAGACTGGTTTCAGCTTCTTAAGAGCTTCAAGTTAGTAAGAAAACTTTTCATATATTTTTATAAATATATGGTCTGGATTGTATTAATAGGTATGTATTTGTACCTCATTTTAACTGTATATATTGAGGAAAATATGCACTTATTGCCACAAAATGCAAAACTCTCTATCAGAGACTTAAAACAATAGACGTTTATTTCATATATTCTGAACTTTCAATGTGGGTCAGTAGAGGCTCTGTATCCTGTCACTTAGGATCCATGCAGTCTCCATTTTTTAATGTTATCTAAGCTTGAAGCATCCACATTCATTGTATGATGGGAGAAAATCAAAAAAGAGAATGATGAAGGAGGCATTAACTGTTTTTGAGGGCCAAACCAGAAGTGATGCACCTTAGAGTCACATGTCCCCATGTGATTATAGCTCCAAATCCAATTTAGAAATCCCCTAAATATAATAGAAAGGTTTATTAAATTTCTGAAATTCAGAAAAAAACTACTTTTAATGACTTTTGCTAAATTTATAAATTGTTACAGTGAAAAATATGATATTTCTATGATATATCTTTGAAAGTTTCACAAGAAATCATAAACAGTTAATTAAAGTCTATTGCAAATGCCTTTTTAACTTTAACTTTAGGAGTACAGCTACAGAGCTACTAGTACATATGTGTGTCACATTCCTCTATGGATGGTAAATCAATAGGTGTAGGAAGACTTTTAAAGATTTCAATATAAAAAAGAAAGACATTTATAAAATGGTATTTTACAAAAGCACAATTTGTTCTTCCTTAATTTAAATATAAATATTCATAAAATTATAATAAGAAGGTTATTTTAATGCTTCTAAATATAAATAGAAGAGGCTCATTTTATTAAAAACAGTACATGCCAGACAATTTAGAAGTAATGTAAACATACTACTTTTTATTTAATTATTTAACAAGCTTGTGAAGTAAGTAGTAGTATTCCCAATTTGTATTTTCAATAAAGATGCTGTAATTTATCTAAAACGTCATATAGCTACAAAATTTATGGCTAGAATCTATACATATTTGTATCTAAAGCCTATTCTTATTAAACTGTGTATAAGATCACCCAACTGAAACATTTGAAAACAGACTTTAACCTAAATTGCTAGTAATCCCGTACTTCATTATAGAAGGAAGGGAGTCAAAACACAGTGCTGTTTTTAGGAAACATACATTCATGGTATAGGAACAGATGTTTCACTGATCCTATTAGAAATATGGTGGTAAGTGATAAAGACTATTTGAAAGAGAGGTAGGCTATCAGAAGTGTATGTGGTCATAGAATAAAATGGGGGAACATAGGGAGGTTCAAGAGAATGATTTTGTCAATTATATTAAATTCTGGGAAGATTAGAGAAGAGATTCAGCCTGGGAACTCAATTTTATTTCACAATTAGGAAATGACTATAACTTATTCAGTCAGAGTTTAGTCAGGAAAAATAAAATCTTTTAAAATAAATAATGATTTATTCTAGGAGATTAGAGACTTACATAAACTGAGGAAGAATTAGAAAGAAAAGAACAGCAAACTGCTTTCAGATATTACCAAAGTGAGAATATCTAGTTTCTACAGCCAATAAACCCAGATGTCTACAGCAGCAAAGTCAGTAATTTTCATGAAAAGCCCTGGAATCCAAGAGATGTTCTGAACTGCCTGCTCACAGTAGTTGTGATTTCAAGTGTCTGCCTGCAACAGGTGTTTCTCAGTAGGACTCCAAAAACAAAGAAAGCTGCAACTGAAATTCTAAGCTATCTGCATTTGCTATCACAGAATATTGGCTTTTATTTTTCTTCCACTTCCCAAAATTTGATTAAATGTCTCTCACTGACTAAATCTAAGGGCTGAGATTCTGGAAGCTGTTTAAGGCTTCTTCCCAAAATGCAAAAGAGAATGCCAAATAGGGTAACTCTACTGAGACCCTATTTCTTACTAGGGAGAAGGTTAATGTGAAAATATAAGGCTATGACGTAGAAAATATGTGCAGCAAACATTGTGTAGCAATTCACATAGACTTTCTGCATTTTATTAAATATTTGTCCCTAATGCTATCAAATTACAGAGAATAAAAAAGGAATTTACAGAAAATGAGTTTCTGTGGAAAATTGTACATTTTAAAGTTTCTCAAGGTCTCTAATGTAGTGGAATGTTTTAACTCATTAAAAAGAGACTCTCCATTATTATGTTGGACACTGTTATTATCTGGGATTATGTCTTGATTGGTGTAAAGTCCTAGCTACAGACATTAGGAAAGGCTGTTGTGAAAACACACTTATTATGCAACACTAAATAAGAAAGTAAAAATGGCTAAAAGTTGCCAAATGGACAAATTCAGTTCAAAGCAAACATAATCTTCTGACAACTAGAGTCTTTTGTAGTTGAGAAAAATATTAATATATAGGATAGACAATCATAAACCAGTATTGCTAAAAATGTGTTTGAATGGATTTAGTTGAGCCCATGCTCCATTCAATATAGTTCTGTTGAAGGAATATATATATATATTTATATAACTGGATATGATATGACATATCCAGTTTTATATATGTATATATAGTATGATATGATAGTGTTATATAATACATGTGCTACATATGCAATAAATGTGTTGCATATGTGTTGTATGTTTCTACATGTGTATGGCTACAATATACACACCATATATGTAGTATGATTATGTATTTATGAATATAGCTGTATATATAAAAACCGTTAGTATAGCATGGCCACTACCAATCAAAACAGACATTGCCATAACAATCTTAAGGCTGTAAAATAATTTATTTGAATAGCAGTTCCAATTTTTTCAACCAATGCATTTGTTCAATCTTGCATTATATATGCCTATTAGTAATTTATAAGTAACATTAGAATACTAAAGATTCTGGAAAGACCTGAATTTATATGATGTTTAATTATGTTTACTTCTGCATTTCTGAAAAATATTTTACTTGGCAATATCTTTGTGCTGTAATTTTTTTTTAATATATGCTCTAAGAAATCTTCTTTGGTAATTACTAATCTATATTGATGTTTCCATTGAATGATAATATATTTCTCAGGTTCAATGGGCTACCTATGTTTTGTAGTCATTTAGCAGAATCAAGATAGTCATCACCTGAAACTTGGTTCAGATGTCAAGATTGATGACACTCCACACTCTGAAAGCATTTGAGATAAAATTTGTTACATGAAGAATTTCTGAATATACCTGGACAGAAACAAGAAAATCTGTGCTGGCTTGGGCAAAGCAGAGACTGTGGGTTGAGCTTTTGTAGGAACAAGAGTTGGAATTGGGGAAAATTCCCCAAATGCAGGAGGCTTAATTGTTTTGTTTACACCAACAAAGGAGGCTCTTGTGCTTGGGCTTTATTATAACCTTGCCCAGATATGGGGCCAAGAAAGGAGAAAGGAATGTGAGGCATGAAAAGAAATCAGTGATAAAGCATCAGCAGTGGAGTTAGACTCCTTCTTATTATTCACCTCTGATGTTTGGTTGAAGACTGCAATGTGCCATGTCTCATTTCACTGAAGTTGAGTGTAACTATAAATCTTAGAACTATATGCCTATGCACCCATCTGTAATGAAAATGAAACGTCTTTCAATGAATATATGCATTGATTTACTCTAGATAGATGAAGACATCTGAGAGACCTCTGTGGGTGTTCAGGGTATTTGCTCAAATACCCAAGTGATATTCTTAAATTTAACCTGTTGAATCTTTTGTTGGGCCACCTGAGCAACTTTGCCTTTGCTGTTTATCCACATGCAGTAAAAAGTTTAGTGCACCAAAATGCTATATACCCAACTGTGATGGTTAATAATAGGTGTCAACTTGACTGGATTGAGGGATGCCTAGATGGCTGGTAACATTATTTCTGGGTGTTTCCATGATGGGGTGTTGCCAGACAAGATTGACATTTGATTTAGCAGAATGAAATAGGAAAACTCACCTTCAATGTGCTTGGGCACCATTCAATCAGCTGCCAGTGAAGCTAGAACAAAGCAGGCAGAAAAAGGGGGATTAGCAGTTTGCTGAGTTCACCCACTACCTCTCTCTCTCTTCCTGTGCCAGACACTTGGCTTCCTTTTCTTCTACCCTTGTGTCACAGGATACTTAGGGTGTCTCTTCACCAGCTGGCAGTGCCTTCTGCCTAAATGTTGCTGGTGCTTGCTGGGCTCGTTCTGCCCACCCCACCTGGCAGGCTGTGCTCAACTCATGCTACCGGCCCATATCCCACACCTGCCAAGGGTGAGCCAGGCTCAGAGCAGTGAGGGGTGTGTAGGCGAGTGAGCGTGGGACCCTTCTACTGTGCACAGCAAGGCATGCCAGCAGCTGTGGTGTCGGTGGGAAGCTCCAGGCCCAAGCACACGTGCCGGCTCCATGGGAGGCTTTGCTGGACCAGGTATACCGCTTTCAGCTTCCACTGAGGGCACCTGTGTCTCAACAAGGGGAATATGGTGGCAACCAGAAGTTTGGAGACTCCAGGAATGGCAGAGCCCCAAAGAGGGTGTCACAGCCCTGGCTCCTGGAGCCCATAGGTCTGGGTTTCCCAAAGGGCTGCAGCTCTTCTCTCCTTTTTGTAGACCGCAACATGGTTGGTGGGGAGCATGTTTCAGCCCTGTTTGTGTTACAGCTCTTTCAGTCCCGCTATTCAGTGGGTCTCAAGTTTTTGTACCATGTCCAGGAAGAATGAGTTACGTGGACAACTGTAGGCTGAGTAAGGTGGAGAGGAGCTTCATTGAGCGACGGAACAGTTCTCAGGAGACCCTCCTTTCCACAGGCAGGTCGTCCGGAAGAGTGTGCAGCTTTCAGTGGAGAAGAGACCCACAGTGGGTAGCTCCTTTCCGCAGGCAGGTTGTCCCGACAAGTGTCCAGCTCTCAGAGGAGAGGAGACCTGGCAGGGATAGCTCCTTTGTGCGGGCAGGTTGTCCCAATGAGTCAAGGAGACCCAAAGAGGGTAGTTCCTTTTTGCAGCTGCTAATCCTGATGTTTGTCCAAGTCTGGCGGAGTCCAGGGGTTTTTATAAGCTCAGAAGGGAGGCAGTTGCATGAAGATTGGTCCATGGGCAGCCGTGGACAGGCCTGGAAAAAGCACCGTAAGTTCTCACTCTGGGCCGCAGACTCCACTGGAACTGGCAGCCCAAGCCCCAGGCTTCAGGTTGTTCCTGTCTTGAAGGTAGGGTTCACCATGGACCGTCCATTTATTTACAGGAGGCTGTCTGCCTCCTGCCGCCATAAACATGTCCTCCACGGAGCCCAGGCTGTTTGTGCTGAGGGGCACCTGCAAGCCTTCCCCGAGCTGCCCTTGGCACCCCTTCAGCCTCCCTCCTGTGTTCATGGGCAACCAAAGTCTGGAGGGGGCTGAGGCAGCAGGGAGATGACGAGTCAGTTCCACCCTGAGTGCGAGCACACCTGGCCAGGTTGAGACAGCACTCAGGCTTGGCCACAACTTTGCTTTGCCTTGCAATGGCCGCCAGGAGCGAGGAGAGGCCAAGGGGAGGTAGCAGGAACTTCCAAGCCTGCAGGGTAGGCGAGGATTCCCAGGCCCCCAAGAGCATAGGGATGCCAGGGTCTACAGCCACGACTGAGCGGCTGCAGCTACACACGTCCCACAAAATCGGTAGGGGATGGGGCTCCCGCCTCTTCCAGGCCCCCACCGGCTCGAAGTAGAGCGCAGCCCCGGCTGCACTTCCTCTGCTGCAGCCATCGTCTTTGCAGCAGCCAGTCCAGATGAGTCGTCACTGCCATCACTTGGACATCAGACTCCAGGTTCGGTAGCCTTTGGACTCTGAGATTTGCACCAGCAGCCTCTTGGAGAACTTTTGGGCCTTTGGCCTCAGATCTAGGGCTGCTCTTTCAGATTCCCTGTTTTGAGGCTTTTGGACTTGGACTGAGCCATACTACCACCTTTTCTCTTTCCCCACCTTGCAGATGGCCTGTAGTGGGAATTCGCCTTGTAATCCTGTGAGCCAATTCTCCCTAATCAACTCCTAAATAAATATATCATATTGGTTCTGTCCCACTGGGTAACCCTACTACACCAGTCAGTTGAAATCTTATTTTTAATATTTTTCTTTCCAAAATTTAGTTGGCTAGTAGATAGTCTAAGGCTAGGCTACCATTCATAACCCATATTTGCCAGAGAGTCTTGCCTCTCATTTAGGGGTTTGAGGCCTTTAGTGATTTTAATCATATATTTGGATATTATTTTGGACATTTTCTGAGTGGCATCATTTTAGAAATTTTGCTGAATAATAATGTGGGTTCCTAAAGGAGCACCATTGACTTCCAATATAGTCAGCAGAGTAAGAACGGGTGAATGTATTTCAACCGCATAATAGCTGCTTTTTCTTTTCACTCTCGCTTTTTCTTTCTTTAACTCTCTTCACGTTTGTTTTTTGTTTTTTGTTTTTTTTCATGACTAACCTCCTGATGGACTCATATATCATGGAGAGTATGACAGTGTTTCCCTGAGCACTCTATAGAAGGGAGGTCAACTTCTGGCTGAAACAAACAATAAGTCACGGAATAAGAGTTATCCCTCTGACCATAGCATCAGTTACATACAAAATTCATTCAAAGACACACAGATAGGTCTGGGCTGAGACACATGACCCAGGAATACTCTAAAGAGAGACTTGATTCCATACCCCGTTCCTAAATGTCAAATATCAAAACTTCCAATTGAGGTCAGCAAAACTTATAACACAGGGTCATCAAGGCTGCACAAATAGAGCACAATGCAGCATGATAGAAAGTACAAGCTTACTAACAAACAGAGCAGCCATCCCATACACTATATGCAGTTATTTGTACTTAGTAAGTGGAGAGCAAGACAAGAAAGCTCTCAAAGCAGTAGTGGTCATCTATTAGCGCATCTTTCTGGGTCTGCCAGACTTTTGTTGTTGTTGTTGTTATCCTATGGAAGCAGAAATGGATCCACAACTGAAATTTGGTTTGGATGTCAAGGTGGATGATGTTTCACACACCAAGAACATTTGAGTGAAAGTTTATTCCTCACACAAGGGATCCCTGGGGACAGCTGGTCAGGTACAAGCAGGTTTGAGCTTGGTTGGGCCAAACTAGAGGGTGTAAGTTGGGTTTTTATAGTGACAAGTAGGTTGGAATGGGGACAAGCTCCCATGCATAAGAGGTTTAAATTATCCATTAGTGCCAAAAGAGGAGACACAGAAATGTAGAGGCTTTCTTAACAGCTGTTCAAATGCAGTGCCAAAGGGGAAAGGGGAAGTGAGGCTTTAAAAGAGGTCAGTCGTCAAACATCATAAATGAAGCCAGACTTTATTACTAACATTCCAAACCCAAGAACATATTAATGATGAGTTTCCCACTGATATTACTCCTGTTACTACTATTACTACTACTACTTGTAGCAATAATTATTATATTAGCAGCAGTAATGATATTTATCATGTAATGTTTAGTGCCTTTTATTTACCAAGCCAGATTCTGAACATTTAAATACATATTATCCTGTAATCTTCAAAATCCTAAAACAAAGCTAGTATAATTATTCCCATATATGAGGAAGATAAGGATCAGAAGGGTTATTTGGACATTAATTTTTTTTATTCAGGAATTTTAAGGCTAAGCAATTACTAACAACTGCATATTTTATGTTGTCAAATTTCCCTTTTTCCCAGCTAAGACACATACAGATTTTAGAACTGTACATTTCAGTTGCTTAGAATATTTTTTGTTTGACATTTTATAAAAAAGTTGAAATCTCATGTACTAAAACTCATGCCTCCTAAAGGAACTATTCTCTTGTACAAATTTTAAATGGTCATGTAGGAACAATTGCCAGCAAAATGTACATTATGCATATAAAATAAATTATTTATGAATGTTGCATATAATCTTTGATTTGTTGATAAAAATTTATTTCCATTCATTCAGATTTCCTAAGGACATTTGCCTAAATAAAATATCAATATAAGGGTGTATTCAATGTTAATGTGCTTAGCATTCATATAATAATTTTTGTCTTCACCATTACTAACCAATAGTTCCTTTAGGAGGCAGGAGTTTTAGTACAGTTTCCTATACTGAACAAGAATGATTATGAATTCACATTTTATTTCCTAAGATATTTTATTCCCTATTTATGGTTAAGAACTATAACTTATTTGCACAAACTAACTTATTTGTCAGGATGAAATTCAGGTTGTTTATCTGCTAGTATCCAGTTGAGAATGGTTAGAATCTGGTCTATTTGTCATCATCTATTTTGCATTAGTGAATGTGAGTATGCTAATGAGGATATAATGGCATTTATTTGCAACTGACTTTCACATTCACTTTTTCTTTGTGCCAAATATTCAGAAGCTAATGAATGTTAATTTAAAATAAGTGTGATGTAAGAAAGCTATGCACTTTTTGTGATGTAGCATGCTGAGGTCTTTGCTGTGGATCAGAGAGACTTGGCCTATTATTCATCTATATATAGATCACAGCAATGGGCCAGGAAGTCACAGGAAAATGAAAATCTGCAGCATTGCTTTGTATTATTCTTATCCCTATTGCTGAGAAGTGGTAAACTAGTAAACTAATAGAGTGAATTCAGACCTCTGAATTGGTTTTATAGGTTGTTCACAGATAACATTGTCTTACGTATTGAAAAATATAAATTGGCAATGCTAAATATAGTGATGCAATGATGCTTTTAAGAGTGATAATCATTGTTATTATCTCTTGTGAATTTCAGATTGTAGGATAATGTTTAAGCCAGCAAGATGCAATTCTTCTTGGCATTAAGTTTTACATTTGCTATATGGTTTAATTATTGCTATAGTGTTTTATATGATGGTAAGCTATTTTTATTAAAACCGTATCTTGTTAAGTTCATATTAAATATTATATTTAGTTTCAGTATATGTTTAAAGATTAAACATGATTTGTGTTGAAAACTATCAATGTGTATTTGAAGTAAATCTAACTTTAGATATGTATTATTTTATTTTTGAAAGTCTAGTTATCTACCCATAAAATGTCCACCATTTAGTATACAAAATATATTTTGATTGTGAATGATTTTTATGTCTTTTGTTTTAAAAATACCACTAACGTTATAGAACTTGTCACTAAGGTAGAGTTTGGGTTAAGCAAAAATATGACAGCTTAATATGCATCGTAAAATCAAGAAGAAAATGTGTGCCCTGTATATTTTTAAACAGTAGAAAAAAGTTCAAATCAGTTACTAACACCAATTGATAAAACTATTGAAATTCCCATTGAAAAAGGATTTCTTTTGATGCTCATATCCATTTATCTTGCACATTTTCTGAGTACGCATTCTATTCGTTCTCATTTTATCTTCTACATTTATTCCTCCTTAGAGAACTGGCAAACAGATGTTGGCACAGCTGGGTTGGATGAGAATTATGCCACTCTAGAATGGCGTTCTTTAGTAACATTGAGGGCAGAGCCCTTTACATTCTTTGGAGACTAGAACAGTCACTTTGCTATATACTTCATTTACTAGCTTGAGGCTAACATTTTAAGATCATTTAATAATTTTAAGATCATTTAATAGTTATTATATTTCAAATCTGTGGTTACTAATTCATATTTGGCTAGATGCTAGACAATTTATTGTTTTTATTATTGAAAATTGTATTATCCAAATAATATTTTCAGATCATTAAGACTTTTTCTATGAATATTGCCATACACAGAGGATATTGTACTCAAACCGTGCTGTGGAATGGGTCACCTTTTATGTATACATTTTAACATGTAAATAAACAAATGATTCATGTGTTATAAAAATATAAAACCAATATGAAAACAGATAAATAATAAATTGTCTATATATGAATATAAGAGCAGTGCAAATTGTATTGATTTTAATGAAACAAATATTTTCATATATAGCCTAACTTTTTAAAATATCATTTTCTTAAGTGGTTGTATTATTTTAAACTTCCACCAGCAGTATACCAATCCAGCTCCTCTATATCGACAGTTGGTATGAAAAGATGTATTTTTTAAATTAGCTAAAAACTAATAATTTATCCTTTGTCAAAAAATCGAGTGAGTTTCCATTTGCTTACCCACAATTTAGTTTATAAATGTTATAAAATACGCATGATTTTTATTATTAAGAAAACACAAATACTACTAAATTGACCATGTGGTGTTCAAGATGGGTAGAACTGAGAGATGTATGAAACAGTGATATATTAGATATATTAGAAATGGTACTTACTTAACTGTTACTGGAAAAGACCCATGGAGAACAGATACTGATACAAGCCGAGGGTTTATTAACAATTGGCATAATTAATCCTCTTTTAACAGATAAAGTTCATAAAGTTAAACATTTGGTAGATTAAAAATCAATAAATTAAATATCATTTCATAGTTTTATATTTTGAAGTGTTTAAGCCTATAAGCTGAAATAAGTAAATATGATTTATGTGCTAATAGTTTGTGAAATGTACATTTTTCCTAATTTTAATTAATAATAATTCAACAAATTGTGTGTTTACATTTTCATTTTGTTTTTTGTTATATTTCAACTAACTGAAAATCTCTACCACAATTTCACTGTGCTCTCCAATTATACAGCTATATTGTGTAGAATAATATGAAATAACTTTTATGAGAAAAAATTTAATTAACTTTTTGTGACTGAATCTATATCAGGTTTTTGATGATGTAGTACTTAAAGCACAATATGTGTCTTCATAAATAAAAATTAATATTGTATTTTGTAAAGTTAATCATGAAAGAAAGCGTTATCTCAAATTATTGAAGCAAAATAGTAGAAAAGCAGTCAGAGCTGGAAAGATTTAAAAGAAAGTAATTATTCTAGTTATATTAACTATCTTGTGTCTCATTCCTACCACCATTACTTTATCAGTCCTTCTTTCTATTTATCCATTAATTTAACTTCTACTCCAGACTACAAGTTTTGGTATTATAAAGAGAGATCATAACACAACCCATAGACACTTTACTCAAATTACTTACAGCATAGTGTAAAACGAAAGATAACCAGACATATATACTGCTGTAAGGAGCACATAGTGAGCTGGGCCCAAATATAGACTCATGGCTGGGGGTGTGGGTTTTGCCAGAGAACACTTCCTCCCAGAAGCAAAAGCCCTCCACATTTTGAAGAATAAGTAGGAAATGGGCATATTGGTGGAGCAGTAAACTTTCTAGTCAAAGGCTTCTGCTTTGGCAAGATGGCTGAATTGATAAACTACAAGCTCTCAATGTTCACCACCTGTGACTTTCCAGTCTCTTACTCCTCAGACTCAGTGTCTTGTCCTTTGTAACTTATGGTTCGCCAACCATATCAGATGTCTCCTCTAGCCAATCTCTCTGTCTCTCAAGGTACTCTGTAATATACATAACTGACAGAACTTATGTTTTTTGAAGTAATGTATTTAAAATAAATCATGTCAGTATTCCACTCTAAAATATTCACTGCCTCCCCACCACCCATACAATAACACCTCAAGACCTTACCATGACATTTAGAATGTCTCTATCATTTTGAACTCAGTCTAGTGTCTGAGTCTCTGATTCCCAACTGTCTTCATCCCATACAATTCAACATTGTTGACACCCTTTTATTTCCAGTATAGACCACACCCCATGAGTTTGCACATGCTTGTTTCTTGGGAATAGAATTCCCTTCTCTAACTTTTCTTCACATATTTTACCCTTTGTTTTCTATTTAGAAATTCTCATTTGCTCTTCAGGATTTATTTTAAAAGGCTGGTTGCAAAATGATGGTTTAGAAGCAGCTGACTTTCTGCTCTCGTCGGAAAATAACAAAAAATTGCTAGATATGGAATCACATTGTCAGCAAAAAGAGATTATTTGACTTATTTTTTTTCCTATTTACAGGCCTTTGATTTCTTTCTCTTGCCTAAATGCTCTGCCTACAACTTCCAGTACTATGTTGAATAAGAGTGGGCATCCTTGTCTTGTGTCTGTCATCAAAGGATATGCTTTTTTCCCATTAAGCATGATATTGGCAATGGGTTTTTAATAGATAGCTCTTGTTACTTTGAGGTATATTCCTTCAATGCCTAGTTTGTTGAAGGTTTTTATCATGAAGGGATGTTGCATTTAATTAAATGCTTTTTTCTGCATCTATTGAGATAATCATGTGGTTTTTATTTTTAATTCTGTTTATAAGGTGAATCACACATTGATTTGCAACCTATTTTATCTACTATAAGTATAGCTAATTCTGCTCTTTTTTGGTTTTAAGTTGCATGGAATATCTTTTCCCTCACCTTCGTTTTTATTTAATTTGTGTCTTTATAGGTACAGTGGGTTTCTTGTAGGCAGCATATAATTTTGCATATTTATATCCATTCAACCACTCTATGTCTTTTAATCAGAAAACTCAGTCCATATACACTGTGTAATTAATAATAAGTAAGAACTTTTTGTTGTCTGTTTTCTGTTTGTTTATTAACTCCACTCTTTCTTTTTTCCTTTTTTTGCTGACTTTTTCTGTGGTTAAGTGGTTTTCTGGTACTATATTTTAATTTATTACTCTATTTTTAGCAAATCTATTATAGGTGCTTATGCTTCAGTTACCATGAGGCTTACAAAAAGCATATAATAGTTATAACAGGTTATTTTAAAGAGATGACAACACATCTTAGATCACAAAGAAAATAATAAAGGCAAAGAAAAATTTAAAAAAAAGTACACTTCAACTGTATTTCTCCAAATTTCCATTTATGCTTTCTCAATTTATATATTTGATTTGATATTATTTAAATCTCTGTTCCTGCCCAAATCTCATGTGGAGTTGTAATCCCCAGTGTTGGAGTTGGGGCTTGGTGTAAGGTGATTGGATCATGAGGGTAGATTTCCCTCATGGTGCTGTGTCGTGATAGTGTCTTTATAGTGAGTGAATTCTCATGAGATCTGGTTGTTTAAAAGTGTGTAGCACCTCCCCCACCTCTCTTCTCCTATGCAGCAAGTATGCATATTAAGTATTATTAAATATAACAGGGTTCAGTAAATGTGTTCTGGAAAAGGCCAGACAATAATACTGTAGGATTTGCAGGACATTCAGTCTCTGTTGCAGCCGCTCATCTGAGCCACTGAAATACAAAAGCAGCCATAGAAAACGCAGAACTTAATAGTTATGATTGTATTCCCTTAATACTTGACTAAAACAGGGAGTGGCCTAGATTTGGTCTGCAGGCTGTAGTTTGCTGACCACTGGGATAGAAAAATGTGTTAAAACTTCATAATATAACCTGTTACATGTTCTGCAACCCCAAGATGCTAGGATCATATATAGTCTTTCTTTCAGCAATAACAAATTTTATTTTGAGTAATTATAAATATGTTCTAAAATAGTGAATATAAACAATAAGAAGAAGACAACTCAAATTGAAATATTTCTAGATTTTTAGTAAAAATAGTTTGAAACTTCACAATAACCTTACATGATGGTATATCTTTCAAACTCATATGAAACCCAAGTAGCAAAAAACTATAGACTCAGCTTCCTTCATAGAGGATTTTAAAAGCCTGACTTCCACTTTCTCACAACTATGTTTTAAAGGTCTATTGTTGCCTTATTTTGAAATGCAGAAATGAGTCTACAGAGACCAAGTTGAACAGAATTGTTTGGCTTGAATTGAGTATATGTCTTAAATGTTTCTATGCTTTCACTTTTGAAGTATAGTTACATCCTGCTTTTAATAAAGAAGTGTACCTGAAAGAAAGATCTAGAGTTTGTAAACATAAAACTTAAGTGACCAAAACAATAAAATAATCTAATATTGTGAAAGTAGAGATGAGTGACTTTTTATTTACTAATACTAGTTCTGTTATTTTCCTGCTGAGGAAAGTTACATTTTTTTTACCATGTATGAGATGAAATATTCTGCTA